>NC_000020.11:9005728-9157244 GCF_000001405.40 Homo sapiens
TTTAATTACTTTACTCTTTCTTCTTTTAGTTGAAATTGTTTGATATGGCCAATACCGAAATACAAATGGAAAAACACCATGGTTTTGGTTTTTAAATGGTGATTTTCTTAAATAATTCTGCACTCAATGCCAGTTTAATTGTTTCATTTATTTCTTGATGGTGCTGCCCTTTATGTAAAGTTAATGGTGTGAAATGCACTAAAGAAATATAACTCGGATTTCTGTTAATAGTTTCTGAAACAATCTAGAAGATGATTGTAACCATTAATGAGATTCCTTTTAATTTTTTATTGTAATGGGTTATTTATTCTTTCTACATGGAATTTTGCTGGGTAATTGATTATGTTAGTTTCATTCCACTTTGCGACTTTGAGTTTTTTTTTTTTTTTTTTTAGACAGTCTTGCTCTGTCTCCGAAGCTGGACTGCAATGGCACAATCTCAGCTCACTGCAACCTCTACCTCCCAGGTTCAAGTGATTCTCCTGCCTCAGCCTCCCGAGTAGCTGGGATTGCAGGTGCCTGCCACTGTGCCCAGCTAATTTTTGTATTTTTTAGTAGAGATGGGGTTTTGCCATGTTGGACAGGCTGGTCTCAAACTCCTGACCTCAGGTGATCCACCCGCCTCGGACTCCCAAAGTGCTGGGATTACAGGCGTGAGCCACCATGCCAGGCCTGCGACTGTGAGATTTATGTGTGTTCACAACATTGGAGAACAATTTATGTCTCTGTCATTTCTCTCTTCTCATTTTAGATGCTTGTATGTGCTCTTCTTAAAGAAAAGAAGTTTACCCAAAGTGTTAGGTGCTAAGACGTCTTCCCTAAACTCCACCTGATTGGCCTTCAAACCACAAGCTGACTTTCATGTCTTTCGGGGTTAGAGCCTCTGTTACCCAGAGCTGCAACCTCAGTATAAAACTCTTCATAGAGTACTAGGAAGGTGAAAAGTGACTTTCCTGACAACTAGGCCATGGTGTTCCTTACTGAACATAAATAATGCTCACAGCTCAAACAAGATGGGATAAGACCACTTGGCACCCAGGAAAAATGATTAACCATGGCCTTCTATTGTTCAACAAGTGACAGATGATTCTTTACGAAATGTGCATCCAGCCCTGCTTTAACCTTCCCACAACCTAGAGAAAATTATTCAGATATCCCAGCTTCTAGACAATGTCCAATCCAGCATGGCCCCTGTTTTATTAAACCCTCCCTAGAGTCATCTGCTACGGGCTAAATGTTTGTGTCCCTTTGAAATTTATATGTTGAATCCTAGCCCCCAAGGAGGTAGTATTAGGAGGTGGGGCCTTTTGGAAGTAATTGGGTCATGAGAGCAAATGCTCATGAATGAGATTAGTGCCTTATAAAAGAGGCCCATGGGAGCTCAGTTACCCTTCCACCATGTGAGGACACAGCCAGAAGGTGCTGGCTATGAGGAACAACCCTCACCAGACACCAAATCCATCAGTGCCTTAATCTTGGTCTTCCCAGCCTCTCTAGTACTGTGAGAAATACATTTCAGTGGTTTATAAGCTACCTAGGCTAAATAGTATTTGGTTATAGCAGCCCAAACAGACTAAGACATCATCCAACATAAACCCATATCCTGTAAGAAGGATTTTCAACCCCATTACCAAAAACCCCTACCAAGAACGCCCCAACTCCTCAGGGAGGGGTTCCTCCTTTGCTGTAGCAAGCTAAATAAATCTCACTTTGGGCCAGGCATGGTGGCTTACACCTGTACTCTCAGCACTTTAGGAGGCCAAAGCAGGAGGATTGCTTGAGCTCAGGAGTTCCAGACTAGCCTGAGCAACATAGTATTATAAGACCCCATCTCTACAGAAAATTTAAAAAGTTAGACAGGCATGGTGACATGCACCTATAGTCCCAGCAACTCAGGAAGCTGAGGCAGGAGGATCACTAGGGCCCAGGAGTTCAAGGCTACAGTAAGTTATGATTGTGCTACTGTACTCCGGCCTGGGCAACAGAGCAAGACCCTGTCCCTAAATAAATTAATTAATAAATCTCATGTTGTCTGACTCAAGGTGTGTTCCTGAAGGTCAGTGAGCTTTTCATAAGTACTTGATTAATGAATTTTCTTTTTTAAAAAATCAACTAATTTTGTGAGCGTCTTCCTTTCCAAACTGCAACTCAACTTCTATGGCACCATTCTCTCCTGATCTTCCTGCTAGTCCCTTATCTTCTCTGCCTCCTTTTTTGTTCCTTTTCCTAAGTCTGCCCATTACAGGCTGGTGTTCCCTAAGATTCCATCCATTTCCTTTTCCTAAGTCACAGTTTTTCATCTATAAAATGGATATAAATGTTTACATATACTGAGGTAGAAAATTGCTAGTTTCCACCAATATTCATTCTTTCTCTCTTCCATAGAAATCAACTAAATTTTTTTAATATTAAAAACTTTACACATATACTAAAAAACAGAAGTTTGTATAATGTCCCCTATGTACGTATCACACAATATTAACCATTATCAATTTGTGACAAATCTTGTTTCATCTGTATCCCTCATCCCAACCTCACCATTTTATTTTGAAGCTAATCCCAGAGACATCAGACATTATATCATTTTATTCATCAATATATTAGTATATTTTTCTAAAAGATAAGTAGTTTTCTCCAATGTATCACACTTAAAAAGTGATAATAATATCATCTAATACTCTATCTGTGTTTGATTTTCTCACAGTGTTTTCTAACTTTGTTTAAATCAAGATCTAAATAAGGTTTATATATTATATTTGGTTGACAAAATCTACACCTTGAATATTTTTGTCCTTGAAATTTTTGTTGAATATACCATTTCTTTTTCTTTTCCTTTTTTCTTTTTTGAGACGAAGTCTTGCTCTGTTGCCCAGGCGGGAGTGCACTGGCGCCATCACTGCAACTTCTACCTCCTGGGTTCGACCTGTTTTCCTGCCTCAGTCTCCCGAGTAGCTGGGACTACAGGTGTAAGTTACCACTCCTGGCTAATTTTTGTATTCTTAGTAGAGACAGGGTTTTACCATATTGGCCAGGCTGGTCTCAAACTCCTGACCCCAGGTGATCCGTCCACCTCGGCCTCCCAAAGTGCTGGGATTACAGGCATGAGCCACTGCTCCCAGCCAATAAACCATTTATTTTGTCCTGTTTTGTTTTTCACCGTCTTGATTTGATAATTAGCATTTCCTAAGTGTTGTTTAACATGTTCCTTCATTCACTGTGTTTTTTCATAAATTGGTAGTTAGATCTACAAGCTTAATAAAAATAAGACATCTTTTAGAAAAATTACTTCAAAATGGTGGTGTCTACTTTAATTTGGAAGCACATATGTTCTGCTTTTGTTATGATGTCAGCAGGTATTGCAGATCAGTACCTAGATCAATCAATCTATCTCTCAGTCATTTTTAGGGATTGCAAAATGGAAATAATTCTGATTCTTTTATTTCTTCTTCATTTGTTAGTAAGAATATGTTAGCAAGAATACATCTAAAGAGAGAAAATGTGAATATTTTTAAGCCGGTGCTATTTTTGGTCTCAGTCACATGTGGCTGAAACCATGTTCTAACACAAGGATTGTTACAAGTATTAATTAAAATAACACAGGTAGCATGCCTAGTAAAGGAGGAACAAAACTCATCTGACACAATGGTTTCCTTTAGTGCCTATCAGCTGACAATTCCCAAATCTTAATCATCAACCTAAACCTTTCCAGACCCATGTATCCAATTCCTTAGTAAAATCTCTACCTCAGAAACAAAGTGTCCATATCTGAACTTTCTCCATTCTTCTTCCTTTAATTGTATCTAAGGGGAACAATCACCATCAATTTAGTTGCCTAACACAGCAACTTAAAACCATCTTATAGGCTTTCAACTCTTTTGCCTTCCACGTCCATTTGGTTTCCATGTCTCATTATTCTGTTTCCTAAAAGGACCATGAATCTGTCCTCTCTACCCCCTCTAAGTCTTCACTTTCTTAATCACTGCTTTAGTTCAGACCTGTGGCATTGCCCTTTTTGACTCCTGCAATAAACACTTCCAGTCTCACCTTTATCATGTGAAAGCACTTCTTGTCTTTGTTGGCATGACTGTTTCCCCATTAGACTAGAAGACATTTGAGGATAGTACATTTGTTTTTCTTTATATACCTAGTGCTTAGCAGAGTCACTGGTAAATAGCAGTTACTGAATAATTAATAAGAATCTGAAACACCTACGAGCAGGTAACAGGGCTCTATGTGTGTTCATGTAATTCAGGGGTGTCCAATCTTTTCGCTTCCCTAGGCCACATTAGAAGAAGAATTGTCTTAGGCCACACTTAAAATACACTAACACTAATAATAGCCAATGAGCTTAAAAAAAAAAAAAGTCACCAAAAAATCTCATAATGTTTTAAGGAAGTTTACAAATTCTTGTTGGGCTTCATTCAAAGCTGTCCTAGGCCACATGCAACTCATGGACCGTGGGTTGGACAAGTTTGACTTAATTCATCTTCAATATAGCCCTATGTGGTAAGTACTATTACCCTCTCTTTACAGAGGAGGAAATTGAGGCATTAAGTGGTTACATAATTAACAAATTTATTCAACTAGGAAGGGACAAATTAAGAATAGATCCCAGATATTCACTAATTGATGAAAGAAATAAGAAAGGGTGAATGAATTGATAAACAGAGATTATTCTCTATTTTATGAATATCTAGTAAGCCTCTCATCTGGGCTCATTTGCAAAACATACTCTACCACAATGCCAGAGAGATATCTAGAAAAATCCATTGGACCCCAAAACATGTGCTCTATCTTTTTACTAATGCCAGAGATTTCACCATCAGAATCCATTGCCCTCTCTTGAAGTTTTGCTCTCCTAAGTTACCAATGCACTTTGGAAGACAAATAATTTTGGTTACTCACTGTCATGTATTCTTTAGTGTGGATGAATGAGGTTAGGATGGGTGGAGTTGGGATGGGAAGGATCATGAGAGCTGTGGTCTTCTAAGTTGGGTGGTGATATGTCATGTTGAATTGTAACTCCCACAATTCCCACGTGTCATGGGAGGAACGTGGTGGAAGGTGATTGAATTATGGGGATGGGTCTTTCCTGCACTGTTCTTGTGATAGTGAATGAGTCTCACGAGATCTGATGGTTTTAAAAATGGGAGTTTCTCTGCACAAGCTCTCTCTTTGCCAGCTGTCATCCATGTAAAACGTTACTTGCCCTTCCTTGCCTTCCACCATGATTGTGAGGCCTCCCTCAGCCACGTGGAACTGTAAGTCCACTAAACCTCTTTCTTTTGTAAATTGCTCAATCTCAGGTATGTCTTTATCAGCAGCATGAAAACAGACTAATATAGTTAGAGAAGAAGAAACACTAGCAACAACAGAATCTAACTTCCCCTATGTCTGGATTCTTCATTAGTTTTTATTGCTGAATGTTTATGGGCTTTTATGTTTGTTTTTATTTTTTTTAATAGAAAGGCTTGGGTCGCCAGAACTGGAAATTAAAAGTGGTAACATGGAAATCTACTGCATCATTAAACTCACTATGAAGATGGAGGAAATCTCACAGCACCAGAATTTATGAGATCAGGCAGGGCCTGGCTACCCACCAGCAACTTTTCATCCACATGCCTGGGTGATAAATTACACTATCATTTTCAGGGACCATTTGCTATAGAAGAGCAAATTAACCCAGTAATTTTAGAATTATATCTGAGGCTTCATGAAGATGCATCCAGTCTGGTTATGTTTTGGTCCTAAGGCCCTGGCTTCCGGATTCTTCTCTGATCATACTAACTTCAGTTGCTGTTTGATTTAGGAGTACCATTATTTTTATAGGCTTGAAGCCTGTTATAGTGGAAAGCTAGCAAAGGTGAAGGTTTTAATTACCTCTCAATTTTCTCATGACTTTGAGTTCTACCTGTCACTACTGAGTTTCCTTAAACTAAGTTGACTCTGAAACCTGTATGTAATTTAAGAGTTTGAGATATTTGATTTTATTAGCTAAGTTGCATTTATGTTCACTTGAATGAGAAATTACTTCTTCTTTTATGATTGAATGCTTTATGCTATTAATTGATGACTATTGATAATGTAGTATTTGAATCAATACTATATGATTTTTAAAATTAATGTATTTTTACATATGAAAATGCCAAAATATTCCCTGACTCCTCAGCTTAGTTGGACATTGTTCTCTTGTGTTTAGAAAAGGAAAGCAAATTTCCTCTGCTGTTCTTTTTCTTTATCCTTCCAAAGTCACTCACTCACTCATCCACCCATTCCTTCATTGGCTAAATACTCACTAGGCATCAAATATGTCCCAGACATTTTATTAGGGGATAGGGATAAACTGGTGGACAAGGGTGGCCCTGTCCCAACTTCACATTTGAGTGGGTTTTACAGAAAAGGCAACAGACAGTTGCAGAACAAGCCTATGCAGGTAAGTACAGAGTGATCTGGACAATTCAATGATGCCATGTAATCCAGCCTAAGCTCAGGGGGTGCTACCAGCTCTCTTTCTCTCCTTTCCCCTTCTACTCTCCTCTCCTGTCTTCTGCTCTCCTCTCCCCTACCCCACATGGCTTTCTTCCCTCTCTGTGTGTCAGCATCATTTATCCTTGGTGAGACATGCTTCTTCACTATGGTTATGCACTTACCCCTATGCATATTCTCCCAGCATGGAAACCCTGGCAGAAAACTCCTTTTTCCTCTGTGTATATATGAATTCCAGGAAAGATTCTAATGGGACTTTCTTAAATGAATCCCTGTGACCAGTGCAATAGGACACTATTTTTGGCCTGGCCTGAGCTATATTATTTTCTGTGTGAGGTTAGGTAAGGTAACATGATTGTCCATTCCAACAAACCACCTAGAATGAGGACCATCCATCACAAATCTCATCAGCATCCTTTACTCCCCTTCTGAGCACTTATCATAATTTGTAAAAATATTATTAAATTTTTGTTATCTGTTAAATGTGAGTTTCTCTAGACACTAATGTCCATAAGAATAGGGACTGTGGAAAATACTGTGATACTGATCCACCCAGAAGATAATATCCTTATTCTGCTTGCATCCAATTTGTATACCTCTGTATCCCTACTGCCTGGCACATAGTAGGCCTTAAAACATATTTGTTGAGTGAATGACTAATGGGTACTATTGACTCACTATACTCCCTTGAAATGGTCCTCTTTATCTTTAAATTTCCTCTTTTAATTCCACTGGAAACTTCATATCTTTTTGAACACAGGTAGTTAGAGTTCAGTAGCAAAGAGAATGGGATTTCATCATGAATTCAGGCAGATAAGAGTTTAAATCCAAGTTCTGTCACTTCCTACCTGAAAGTCAGCTTACTTCACCGTCCTATGAAGATGTCTGCTTTGTATTGCTAATTTGATAATTAACTGAGATAGTATGCAGCGTGCTTATGATTGTGCCTATAGTGGTTTTACAACATGCCTGCAAATTCTTTGTCGTTCTATCACTTGATAGAGTGTAATTCTCCTCCCTGAGGATGCGCTGGCCTCAGTGACTCTGTTCTCATTAACAGAATGTGGCAGAAGTGACACTGCATGACTTTCAAGTCTCTCTCAGGGCATATGCTTTTGGAGTTCTGGGCTACCATATAAGAAACCTGGCTACCTGAAGCTGCCATTCTAGAGAGATCACGTAGATATAGAGCCCCCGCTGCTCCAGCCCACAGCTGCTTGTGTCTTCCTAGCCCAGGCACCAGGCATGAAAGTGAAGAAGTTTCCAAGATGACCCAACTCTGTCCTGTGCCTGATTACACAGCCACCATCAAGCTGCAAGTGCAGGAGAAGCTGCAACCAAGAGCCTGCCAATAGAGCCCATTTGACTTTCAGAACCATGAGAGGTAATGATAATAAACGGTTGTTGTTTTGTGACACTGAGGTCAAATTGGTTTGATATAGAGCTATTTGTAAATAATCATATTAATGAGTTACATGGTAGATGGTCAGTAAATGGTAATTTTAAAGCATAAACTTTAAACCACAAAGTACCATCTCAGAGTACAGGATATATCACATATCAAACAAGCAAATGAAGTAAATGATGTTAGGACTAGCTGTCACTTGTAATAATCTCAACTGCTGTAAATAAACTAGAACTGACTTAGTACGCTGCATATTTGATTTAAAAAATAATGTGTGAGACAATGTAGCCCAGTGGTTAAAGTCATCAGTTTTGGAGACAGACCACTTAGTTTCAAAACTTAGTTGGTTATTTCCCAAGCGCAAGATATCCGACAAGTTTCTTGTCCTCTGTAATATTGTTTTTACATAAAACAAAGATTTTATAATAAGCATAAATGGAATAATTCATGTAAACTTAGCCCACTGGTTAGAAAACAGTGCCTGATAAATGATAGTGATTATTATATCGGGAATCTGCACCCAAGCAAATGAAAGCTACTGGGCCAAATGGTGATGGACTTCCAAACCGTGAGATACAGGCAGTAAGGAGCCATTGGATTAATTCAGAAAGCCTGACACAGAGACAACAGTCCACACATAAAATGCATGCTTGACAGAATAGCCTGCAGATGCCATCTGAAGATGCCTAAATTATCCTATGGTAATAATTAACATTCTGTAGCATGTATTCATTATGCTTTTTATTAGATAATATTGTTGTTGCCCAGGCTGGAAATCTCATTGGGCCACATTCTTCTGGTAGTAAATTCTCTCCCTACACTTCATAAACTCTTTGAGAATTACATTAAAATTTTTATTTTCCTGGAACAAAATGTATGCCCATGGTAAAATTCTTTCACTTAAATTAGTGAAATCAGAGCAGTAGCACATTAATTTTTTAGGATTCTGTACTGCAAGCACAGATTATTAAGCCTTATCTACTCAAGTCAGGTTAAAATTTTAAGTAGCATTCTGTTATGTGTTGTTCATAAGTTTTCTTATCCATTTATGGTGGAAGAGAGGAGTATAGACATATTAATGCTGCAACTGCTGGATGTTCATTCAAGGTTTTGCCCCTGGGACTATACACAGATAATTGGTAAGGTTAGAGCTTCATATCTCTAAGTGGAATCAATTTTTAAGTGATTTCTAAAAAAAAAATCAATGTTCAAGGTTTGCCTTTTCTTTCTTTTTGGCTGAAGATCTGTTCTGCTGGTACAGACAAAAATAATACTACTATTGAAAACTGACAAAACAGATGAACAAAGGAGGTTATTTAACAAAGGGAAGCCCCAGAAACTTCCCTCCTGTTCTCTCCAAGTCTTTCTGTGGCTTAAAGAAATAACCCTCCATCCCGGTTTTGCTGTCTTTTTCTTTTTCCTTGGTATCAAATGAGAACAATGGTTTCTTCAAAGTGAGTAAACACTGATGCACTGGGGGTGAAAGCTTTAGAAAGGTGGATGTTTCTGCAATTATTTTGTGGACAATATGCATAGATACATGCCTGTTCCTTACTTCAGGAACAATATTTTGTCTGTGAAAGGTTATAGGAGAGTGGTCGTTTTATATTCATGTGTTTCAGGAGACAGTTTTTTGATTGCTTGTCAATGGGTAATATGTAAACGATGAATAAAATAAAAGCTTAAAATCAAAGCTATAGAGGTGTCTAAGTTTTTCAGGATAGGTATACATAGGGAAATTTTAAAGATGAATTTTTTTAATCATGGGGGTTTATTTTGTCCTTTTTTAAAAATTTATTTTTTATTTCCGTATGTTTTTGGGGAACAGGTGGTGTTTGGTTATGAATAAGTTCTTTAGTGGTGATTTCTGAGATTTTGGCACACCAAAAAGAAGGATATTTGTGGCAATTGAACCATCTCAGTCTTCCTCGTATAAATATTAAGCCAAAGAGCGTGCAGAGGAATGTCTTACCCATAAGGAATGGGTAAGGAATGTCTTACCCATAAGGAATGGGTAAGGAATGTCTTACCCATAAGGAATGGGTAAGGAATGTCTTACGCATAAGGAATGGGTAAGGAATGTCTTACCCATAAGGAATGGGTAAGGAATGTCTTACCCATAAGGAATGGGTAAGGAATGTCTTACCCATAAGGAATGGGTAAGGAATGTCTTACCCATAAGGAATGGGTAAGGAATGTCTTACGCATAAGGAATGGGTAAGGAATGTCTTACCCATAAGGAATGGGTAAGGAATGTCTTACCCATAAGGAATGGGTAAGGAATGTCTTACCCATAAGGAATGGGTAAGGAATGTCTTACCCATAAGGAATGGGTAAGGAATGTCTTACCCATAAGGAATGGGTAAGGAATGTCTTACCCATAAGGAATGTCCTCCCTGAGAATGGGCTGGCCTCAGTGACTCTGTTCTCATGAATAGAATGTGGCAGAAGTGACACTGCATTGACATATGCATTGAGTAGATACCACCTGTGTGCAAAATACTCTTGTTACTTTATCAGTCTAATAATAACAGGCCTCACTCTCACAATTCTGAACTCAGAGGATACATGTATTTGGTTTGAGGATTTGGCACATGGAATGCCTTCTTTCATCATAGCCCGCAGTACTCTGGCACTGGAAAATGAAAGTGGAACTCATGTCAAGTTTGAATCTCAAATTATGTCAAAGCATGAGATTATTTTCAGTGCAAAGAGGATTGCAAGAGAGGGCTTACATTTTATGATTGTGGAAAATTAAGAAAAAATACCTTTGGAAGAGAGAAAGTGGAAATATTATCATATCTTTATTTGACTTCAGCGTTTGTATTTTTCAT
The DNA here is from genome assembly GCF_000001405.40 of Homo sapiens. Lineage (NCBI taxonomy): Eukaryota > Metazoa > Chordata > Mammalia > Primates > Hominidae > Homo > Homo sapiens. The sequence continues at coordinate 9,016,454 of NC_000020.11, forward strand.
CCCAATTGATAGATAAAAATGGGCAAGAAAATAAATGTATATATTTAGAGAACTGGTTTGTCAAAATATAGCCAAATATCATATTAGTCACTGGGTTATTTTACAAATATTAATAAAATAATAATATTAAAATAACAAACTTAGGCAAACTTACTATCTCCCAGGCACTGTTCAAATTGCTGCATACACATGAATTAATTAAATCTTCTACTAATGAGAAAACAAGTAATGGAGAGTTTAAGCAAATTTTCCAATGTCTCTCAGAGCTGTGGTTTGAACCCCAGCATTCTGGCTCCAGAGTCTGTTAACCACTACATGTGTATGGCCGAAGTTTTAATTGTAAATCTATGGAAAAGATGAGTCAAATGTTATGAACTGCCACATTCAGTGGCATTATGGACTTTTTTGGATTATGGATCTTTTTTGATGGTTGGACATACTAACCAGAGCATAAAAAGTTCTGAAAATACAGGCATTCACTCATTTGACAATTAAATCCTTCTTCAACAACTGTACTCAGCCCTAAGGACATCACAGCAAACAAGCCTTCCTTCCAATTCTTAAAAGGATTCAGTCTCCCAAGGAGACAGGAAAGCTGGGAATTTAAATACAGAGTTATAAGTGTTAAGATGGGGAGGCATCACGGGCATACAAAAAAGAAGCTACTGATTCAGACTTTTTGGTGGAAGGAAATCACAGAAGCCTTCTTAAAGGTGGTGACTTCCAATCAGAGATCCCGGTAAAATAAGACTTTAACCTGTTGAGGCAAAACTAAGGGGTTGCAGGTTTTGGAGAAGTGAAAGAGTCCAGATAAAGAAAGCAGCATATGAATGAGGCACTTCTCTTCCAATTAAGAAATTTTAAAACCACCTTGAGTATATGTGCCTATTATTATAATAGTTTATAATTAATAATAATTAATACTTTAAATTGGATTTAATAAAATTAGCAGCTATTATTTTCTCATTTTGGAGGAATATGGGAATGGTAGATTATAAAATGACTGTACCTTTTTCTCCTCTTTATTTTTATTTTTATTTTTTATTTTTTTGAGACAGATTCTCACTCTGTCACCCAGGCTGGAGTGAAGTGGCATGATCTTGGCTCACTGCAATGTCTGCCTCCCAAGTTCAAGCAGTTCTCCTGCCTCAGCCTCCCGAGAGGCTGGGATTACAGGTGCCCACAAACTCACCTGGCTAGTTTTTGTATTTGTACTAAAGACAGGGTTTCACCATGTTGGCCAAGCTGGTCTCGAACTCCTGACATCAAGTGATCCACCCGCCTCAGCCTCTCAAAGTGCTGGGATCACAGGCATGAGCCACTGCACCTGGCTCCTCCTTATTTTTAGAACATAGCACTTTTAGATGTGTAATTCATCTAGGAATATGTATATGTGTGTGTGTTATACCCATGAGAGAGGTATTCAAAATCTTTGGGAATTTTGACACTGCATCAACCCATAAGGCCAAAACCCAGGTACTATATAAAAATGTATACATATTTTCCCCTACAAAGCTATTCTGCCCCAACATCGCTCATATAAATATTATTTTTTACATCATTATGAAACGAACATCCATCATGTCTCTATGTATCCTCATATAAAAAGTACGGTTTGCTTATCTCTGAAAGGTTATATAACCACTAAAAAAAAAAAAAAAAAAAATCCAGTAATGTGTTTTTCATTTGTTTCAGTTGCATAAGTAGGTGTCCTATTTTGCAATAAATGAAAGACCACCATTGATAGTAAAACTGCAGAGAACATTTTGTCAATGTTTCAGGAATGCTTTTTGAAGCAACCCATGACTTTCTTTTCTGTTTCAAGAAGATCCGTATCAAAGAGAACTAAAATACATTGAAACCGTGCTAGTCATTAGAGCTGGCATCTCTCTGTATTAGGTTAGTGGTATCAAGGTACTTACACACCCCAAGAGCTGTATTTAGTTAAGTGCAAAAGTACAGGCTCTTCCATTCAGGCAGGGTAAGTGTTCCTTTATCCTGGAAGCAGTCTACCCTGAATTAACATGTGTCTTAACATAATGTTATTTCTTTTGATGCTGGGGTTTAAAGGAGACACATGAACTTCCTGAAGCCACCAAGACATCATCCAGTTTTGTTTTGTTTTTTAACTCTTTGATAATTTAAACAAAACACCAAGCAGTGCTGCTTCTGAATAATGCTCACGGAACAATGTATTTTAATGTACCCTCTGTATTTCTCCACTCTAAAGGACATTTTAGACCTTTTGTTTTAGCATTATCACCCAGCTACAGATCTGGCAGAGCAACATGGTGTGCAATTTTGTGTCAGTCTACATAATTCATCAAAAATAAACAAGAAAAATTTAAGAAAGCAAAAGAAAATTATAACTAGTAATGAGTCAGTATATAACATAGGCTGAATTACATTATGGTTTGTACAAATATTAAAGTCGTGGTTTCATATTTTTTTTTAATTTTTGTATCTACTCAAAAATCAATTGCAAACTAGAAGCTGACTATGGCTTATATAACTGGCTAAAAGCACAAAGATATGAAGGGAAAATGGGAAACCAAAATTGACATTATGGAAATATTGTTAGAACAATATAGAAAGAAAGTGTTTTGAAGAGAGATACAGTTATGTTATATAACAAGGAAAGGTGCCCTGAAATGTTAACATGACTGTTTCCATTTTCTGTGAAGATTTCTATCTCCAAGTCTCAAGTACATCATAACGGGTACAACTAGATCCTATTACAGAAGAGCCTTGTGTCAGTGACTTCAGGGTTATCTACATGACATTGTTCCTGGTTTAACTGAATATAATAGTGCTGCATTTATTCAGCATCACTGGATAATCTTTAAATAATGAAATCCTCTTCCTGTAAGCTACAAAACTTTTTTTTTCTTTTTTAATCAGGTTACTCTACCACTTAAAGATTAAGACTCCACAGTACTTGGGAGTACAAAAGCCAAACTCCTTGAATAGCCTGCAATGACTTCCTCACAGCGTTTCTAGCATTTTCTCTGTCTTACTTCAAAAATAAATACCCCAGCCATGCAATTGTTTCACGACCCTCTGCCTACTAAAATCTGCCCTAGCTCACCCCCTTAACCAAACCAAAATGATCCTAAGACTTCCCAGCCTGTTCAGTTCCTCTCTTTATTTGTTTTCCCCATCTCTTCCCTTGTCATCAGTTTCACTCTTCGCTTCCTCCAGGACAATGGAAACAAAATTTGAGCATGCATCAGAATCACCTGAGAGGCTTGTTGAACCACAGGTGGCTGGATCACACCCCCACATTTCTATTTCACTAGGTCAGGGGTAGACCCAATCTTTGCATTTCTAGCAAGTCCTCAGCGCATGCTGATGCCCCTGGTCCCAAGATTATATTTTGAGAACTCCAGGAGATCACTTTTCTCCTTTTAATTGCTCTTTCAAATTTCCAGAAGGCTTTCAAACCAGATAACTAATCTTATTAGACTGAACACACAGCTAAAAATAAATGTCAACTAAGAGAGAGTCTAAGGAGATTTCCTCTAAGACAAGTGAGTTTTGGTTTGTGGTCTTTGTGACATCTATTTTGGTTTCTCAGAGATCTTTTGCATAACACCCTCAGTGCTAGCCTGTGTCCTGGGTGGTTCAAGCTACAGAATCATTGATCTCTAGATGACTGAGTTGTTATTCTACCATGAGCTATAGTTGTTGTGAATTCTATCACTTTCAAATTTTTGCACAGTTATTATAACCAAGCAGAACTCACCAATAGAATGTCTTTGAGCTAGTGTTCTCAAACTTTCACATGCATAAGAATCTCCTAGGAGATCTTGTTGCAAATTCTAATTCAGCCAGTCTGGGTTGGGGTCCACAGGATTCTGCAATTTTTTTTTTTTTTTTTTTTTTTTTGAGACAGAGTCTCATTCTGTCACCCAGGCTGGAGTGCAGTGGCGCGATCTTGGTTCACCACAACCTTAGCCTCCCAGGTTCAAACAATTCTCCCTGCCTCAGCCTCCTGATTAGCTGGGATTACAGGCACGCACCATCACTCCTAGCTAATTTTTATATTTTTAGTAGAGACGGGGTTTCACTATGTTGGCCAGGCATGCCTCAATCTTCTGACCGCAAGTGATCCACTCAACTCGGCCTCCCGAAGTGCTGGGATTACAGGCATAAGCCATGCAGCCAAGATTCTGCATTTCTAATGAGCTCCCAGGTGATGCTGATGCTACTGGTCCATGAACCATACTTTGAGGGAAAAAAGGTATTAGGTTGTCTTTGGAGAACTCCACCCAAATAATTTTTGACTTAGTTAAAAAATAGAGCGTCATGAAGAAACTCAGTAGACACTCAAAACAATTGACACTTCTGCAGGTTAAAATCATCTTTTATCAAATCCTTGTAATTGCCATGTCTGTTACTCACTCATGTTGTAGTCATAGTTAGGTAGTATTTATCCACAAATTCAGCCTTGCAGCAATCTGTCATATTCAGGTGAGTGCCAAACACCAGCAAGCATCTCTTTGAGGGACAACAGACAGTTGTCAATGGTCTTCTACAGGCTCACTACATGTTGTGTTTGTATACCTCAAGGGAATCTGTTTGATAGCACCAAAAATAGCAGGGCTTTTTTTTTTTTTCTCCCAAGATAAGACAGTATACTATGTACTCCTCACTCTGGGATCAGGAGACCATTGTCTTGGGTTTTCTAGAAGCAGAGCCTGAACCAAGGATGTGTGTGCACATAATTTATTAAGGAGGTACGTTCAGAAGACCTATGGGAGAGAGAAGGAAGTAGAATACAGAATTGGAAGGAACCAAGCAAGGGTGAGGCCTCAAGAATGGTAGCCTCAACCTGATCGGTGTGGGGGTGCTCTGGAGCACAAATTGCATAGCAAAGTTGTCTGGTACTGGGTCAAAGAGACCAGGCTTTTGTGCCCTCTTACTTATTAGTCACAGCCACTTGGTCATGGGAGAGTTAACCTGCCAGGCATCTCCAGACCAGGTGACTCCCATCAGTCAAGGGCAATTCTCCAGGGAAGGGTGCAACTGTGAGCCATTAGCTGCAGCTCTCGTGGCAGCTGAAGGATGAGGGTGCAGGACAGTAAACAGGATACGAGTGGAGAACCAACAGTGCCAATTGGGAGTGAAAATGGATACACCAGTGGACACAGATTGCTTAAAATGAGGGCTCCTCTTCATGGGCAGATAAACAAACCCTTTCCATAGGAAGTCTTTAGGGGGGATATGGGAATTACGGGCTAGCATGGATACAGAGAGGCCACGTGAGAGAAGCAAACAGCTAGCCTGAGTCGTTGCTCATGACAGAAGAAACATGGGCACATTTAGGACCCAGAAGCAAATCTCTGGGTTTTAAATTAGGTCCTAGTCAGGAACTCAGCAGGGAGGAATAGGGAGATGTCTTGGGTAACTTGTGGACTAACAATGCAGTCTCTGTTCTGCAAATCCTTCCCCAGGAGAAAGCTTGGCAGACCTGTATGCATTCTATGGGGCTTTCCTTTCCAGTTACCTTTCCACAGGCTTCACTTTCTCCAAGTTTGTGCTCTCCCAAGAAATCAAAGAGGCCTTCTGTCCTATCAGATGACAAACATCTCACTTTCTTGGCACCTCTCCAAGAATAAGCAAATGCCAGACTTCTAGATTTTCGTAAATGAAAGATTCCAAAACCTAGAAAATCCTTTCCAGGGCTGATGGGAATATATGTATATATAAAAAGCTGTCAGTTATTTCTTGACCCCAATGTCTGTGCATTTCAAAGTTAATTGCATTTATTTTCTATGTCATATCTTTCTGGTTTTAAACAAAGTTATGTAAAACAAAGACAAATTTAGTTTTAAATGTTCTAATAAGGCAATATTTTGTCCCCAGGATAAACATTCTAAACATTTCTTTGTGCTAAAATTGAATAATGCTTTCTAGTTGTGGAAGGTAAGTACCTTTGGGAACAAACACAATATCGTCTATTCACCACCTTAAAATTAATTTAAAAAAAAAAACTGTATTAGCAAGGAGTGAAAGACTTTGTCTAGACAGCTTCCTTTAGGCAGAATGAACAGCGGCCAGTGCAGCTGGATGTTCTGCCCTTTGGGATATGGGCAGTCATAGACAGCTGAGGGTTCAGGAAGGAAAGGAGGTAGCTAGGGAGATTCTCCACATCTTGACAGAGCAGTAGAGCAAGCTTCAGAACATCATGCTTCTCTGGGGTCCCATTAAGATCCCATTAAGGATCCATTAGGGTGGGCAGCCAGTACAGGCTGCTACAATGGCAGACTCCTGTATCAGTGCAGCTGGAAGCTCCAGAGAGCATGTTCATTCTGCATTCCAGATTTGGACATAATAAATGCCAAATGAAACTCTTGGTCTGCTCCCTGAACCTGCTCCATCCACAGTCCTGTCCACCCTAGTGAATAGCAACTCCATTCTTCTAGTTGCCCTGGCCAAAGTAACTGTGGTCATCTTTGCCTGATCTCTTTACCTCACAGTCCATGGCCAATCTGTTAGCTAATGTGGTTGGCATTCCCTTTAAAACCAGAACTTCATCATTCTCACCACCTTCACTGTTCTCATGGTCCCAGTCAGCACGATCTCTTGCCTGCACTGTTAGAATATCTCTCTGCATGGCCCTATGATATCCATCCTTGGCCCACAACATTCTTAAGGGGGCAGCAAGAGTGATCCCTCGAAAACACAAATCAGGCCAAGTGTGGTGGCTCACACCTATAATCACAGCACTTTGGGAGGCAGAGTCAGGAGGATTGCTTGAGCCTAGGAGTTACTCCCTGTGTAGCAACACAGGGAGACCCCATCAATACAAAAAATAAAAAAAACTTTCCGGGTGTGGTGGCGCACACCTGTGGTCCCATCTACTCAGGAGGCTGAGGCAGGAGGATCACTTGAGCCTGGGAGTTCAAGAGTGCAATCAACATCATACCACTGCACTCCAGCCAGGGTGACATGTGAGACTCTGTCTCTTAAAAAAGAAAAAAGAGAGGGGTGGGGCTGGGTGCTGTGGCTCACACCTGTAATCCCCGCACTTTGGGAAGCCAAGGCAGGGGGATCATGAGGTCAGGAGTTCAAGACCAGCCTGGCCAAGATGGTGAAACCCCGTCTCTACTAAAAATACAAAAATTAGCTGGGTGCAGTGGTAGGCGCCTGTAATCCCAGCTACTTGGGAGGCTGAAGCAGGAGAATCACTTGAACCCAGGAGGTGGAGTTTGCAGTGAGCCGAGATGGCACTACTGCACTCTAGCCTGGGTGACAGAGCAAGACACCATCTCAAAAAAATAAATAAATAAATAAATAAAAATTAAAATTAAAATTAAAAAATTTGAAAAAAACCTCCACAAATCAGATATATCACAGTCCTCTGTTCAAAACCCTCCAGTGAACCCCATTTCACTCAAAGTAAAGCCAGAGGTTTTAAAAAAACAAAAGCTTCCCAAGCCCTACATGTTCCCCTTCCCTCCTCAACACAGGTATACTAAGTTACCCTTTTTTTTTTTTTGAGACAGAGTCTCACTCTGTCACCCAGGCTGGAATGCAATAGCACTATCTTGGCTCACTGCAACCTCTGCCTCCTGGGTTCAAGGGATTCTCATGCCTCAGCCTCCCAAGTAGCTGGGATTACAGGGGTACACCACCATACTTGGATAATTTTTGTATTTTTAGTAGAGATGGGGTTTCACCATGTTGGCCAGGCTGATCTCAAACCCATGACCTCACGTGATCTCCCCACCTGAGCCTCTGAAAGTGCTGGGATTACAGGCACGAGCCACTGCACCAGCCCAACTTTTAAACTCTTTACCTAACGTAACTCCCCTTGTTCCCTCCAACACTGGCCTCTTGCTGTTTCTGGAACTCTCCAGGCATAATCTCACCTTGGGACCTTTGCCTGGAACAATATTTCCTCCCAGCATGGCTAGCTCCCATGCCTCAGGCAAGTCTTTACTGGAATGTCACCTTCTCATTGCCTGATCTATTTAAATAATAATCCCCCTGCCCTAGCACTCACACTCCCTATCATTCTTCTGATTATTTTTCTCCTTTAATTCTTATCACCATTCAATATACAGTACTGAATATTTTACTCATATATATGTTTAATTGTGTATGTTCCCCAGTAGAATATAAGTGCCATGAGAACAGTGGTTTGCACCTGTTGTGTTTGCAAGTTGATGCCCAGTGCCTAGAACAGTGCCTGGCATATTAGTGGCCAGAGGAATATGTAATGGAATCTTGCAATGTGTGAAACACTCCACCAGTTACTGTCTAGACTTTGACCCTGCAACTAGATAATTAGCAAAACAGACAGGGCTTTTTGCTTTTACGGGGCTTAAAATCTACAGTTGTACTGCCCAAGTTAGTAGTACTAGTCACATATGACTACTTAAACTTAAATTAGTTAAAATTAAGTAGAATTGAAATACTATTTTTCTTTTTTTCTTTTTTATTTGAGATGGAGTCTTGCTCTGTCACCCAGTCTGGAATGCAGTGACGTGATCTTGGCTCACTGCAACCTCCGCCTCCTGGGTTCAAGCGATTCTCCTGCCTCAGCCTCTTGAGTAGCTGGGATTACAGGCATGCACCACCATGCCTGGCTAATTTTTATACTTTTGGTAGAGATGGGGTTTCACCATGTTGGTCAGGTGGGTCTCAAACTCCAGACCTCAAGTGGTCCGCCTGCCTTGGCGTCCCAAAGTGCTGAGAGTACAGGCGTGAGCCACTGGGCCCCGCCCAGATACCATTTTCCAATCACACAAACCACATTTCAACAGTCTCATTGGCAACTGGCTTCCATGATGAACAGCCCAGAGGCGGAGCATTTCCAACATCACAGGCAGTTCTGTTGGATAGTGCTGACAGACATGGAGGGTTCCTCTACTCCAATTCCCTCTTTTATAGGTGAGGAAACCAAAGCTCAAGGAAATAGTGACTTGACTAAGATCACACAGCTAGTCAATAACAAATCTAGTATGAAACCCAATTCTTCCGATTCCATGTGTAGATAAACCAATGTGTAGATAAACACATGCTGAAGTGCTATCTACTTCTTTAAGACAAATCAAAATATGAAACAAGTAAATAAAACAGACAAAAAGCCCTCCCTTTGCCTTATTGGAATGAATATAATCAACTATAGAAACAGAAAGGAAGAATGTATTAAGTGGGTATTCTCTCTTTTTCCCTGCTATTGTCTGAATTCTTCTTATTTGGGAGATATTTCCTGCTTTATGAGGCTTGGTAAAATGTAGAGCTTAACTCCTTTTTAGACGCTGGAAAAAAAAAAATGAATAGCTTTCCCTCCTTATGTGGTGGCTGAGTCATGGTGAATAGGCTTGGTTAATCAGATGCTCCTACTTGGAACTGAAGCCGCCATTGCAAAATTATAACTGAGACAGTGAAACAGATCTGACCTAACCAACTCCATCTTGCTTCTAACCTCCAGGCTCTCCTTGTTTGTTCTGGGCGTAGGCTGAACTAACGTTGGGAGGAACTTAGTTTATAATTTGAAACAAAGAATCTAACAGCCCTTTCCCAAAGCAAACCTCCTTCTGGCCTAGAGACTAGACTGTCTTTGTAGGACTAACAAATTAGCCACAAGATTAGAAATTATGGTTTAGGAGTCATGCAGCTGAAGGTTATTTTATTTTATTTATTTTTGAGATGGAGTCTCTGTCACCCAGGCTGGAGTGCAGTGATCTCAGCTCACTTCAACCTCTGCCTCCCAGGTTCCAGCGATTCTCCTGTCCCCAGTAGCTGGGATTACAGGCGTGTGTGCCACCATGCCAGGCTAATTTTTGTATGTTTAAGTAGAGATGGGGTTTCGCCATTTTGGTCAGGCTGGTCTTGAACTCCTGACCTCAAGTGATCCACCCACCTTGGCTTCCCAAGAATTACTTTTTCTCTATTGGAATTCCCCTGTTTTGGTAAATCTTCTCTGTCTAGGCAGCAGGCAAGGTGAGCCCACTGGGGAGTTACAGAACTTTTCATGGGAAGCTATGAAGACAAAAAAAGGAATGTAGCAGCCGCTTAGGTTCTCAGGTGACTGCAACTGCATACAGTGAACAGGCCACAGACTCAGATTCGCCTTGTTTCCTGTGCATTTTCAAATCCGAACTATCTATCCTGCCTACCATTTGTGTGAGCTATCTGCTATTCCTAAATGTTTTTTTCAGCTCAAATCAGCCAGTGTTGAATTCAGTTGCCTGCAGCTCAAGTCCCTGACTGATACAGTGTACCAATCAAATTAAAATGCATTTGACTTTTATTTAATTTATTTAAAAAGGTTTATTTGGTTCATGATTCTGATATTTGGAATGTTCAAGATTGGTCATTTTCGTCTGGTGAGGGCCTCAGGCTGTTTCCACTCTTGGTGGAAGGTGAAGGGGAGATGGTGAGTACAGAGAGAGAGGAAGCAAAGGCTAATATGCATTTGATTTTGGAGGCAAGAAAACTCATCTTTTTCCCTCACCCCTCCTAGGTTTTCTGACTGGGGCTCTGTTAATTAGACTGACAAAAGTCAGATTAACAGAAGAAAAACAAACAGAAGTTTATTAACATGTGCATCACACATACACATGGAAGCACTCAGTAACTCGAGGTCGGTCATTAGAACAATAAATTTATAGAGAAGTGATAAGACAAAGGAAAAGGACTTTGAGTTTTTAGGGTGGCAAATTGTAGGAAGGTAAATTTATGGGGAAACTAGTGGTAGATAAGAGCTAGTTTTAGCAACGTCTGTTACCTGTATTTCTCTGGCACCACCTAAGGTGTCAGAAGAACTTCAGCTCTTCCTGGTAGAGATGGGAGGGGATACGCCTTTAAAAATTAATGTCCTGCAAATAGGGGAAGGGCAGATACTTTTCTTCTATCTGCTATTTCTCAATTGCCTTCGGTTCAAAATAATCCTTATGCCAAAGTGGCATATTTTAGGGTGGCATATTCCGATACCTTTCAATTTTAAATGAATGTTTCCTGGTGTTTTTGTTTATATTGAACCTTGAACATCAGGCCATCATTCTGGCTTATATGGAAAATATAATTCATAACCGAACACCAGCAGTAGAAGATAGATTGCTTGAAGACTTGAGCTTCTTATTTATTCAGCAGAATTGGCTGTTTCGATTGATCGTGCATTCAGTGATTAAGAAGAGCAAAACGTAAACATTTCCAGATTTATGGTCACTCTAGCTTTGTACAACCCTTGAAAAAGAAAATGCTTGGAAAACTGAGGCTTAAAGTGCTGTGATACTTCTGAAGTTCCGATGATAAATATTTTTTTGTGATTTGTATAAAGTTAGACATCAGTAACTGTGTTTAGTCATTCTCATCTACTCAGGAAATCTGTCTGGAAGGAAAAAGCAGTGAGCCATGGTGAGCTAGTGAGAGAATTTTCCAAGTTTGAGAATGTCAACAAAGTAAAATTGTTCATGTGTGCTTAGCAATAGAATAGTCTAGCACTTGAATTTACCGAATTTAATTTCTATTCCCAAAATGATTAGGTATTTAATTTTTTTTCTAAAACTAAAGAGACATTTTTTAAGTTTTTTCTAAAACTGTATTAACCACCTTGACCCAATTGATATTTATAGACCGTCTTACCCAATCACTGCAAAACGCACATTCTTTTCAAGTGCGAGCAGTGGGAGCAGCAGGTTCCCGAGTATAGACCAAGTGCTGGGGCATAGAAAACCTCTCATTTCAACCAGCTGAAATACTACTGGGTATGTTCCCTGCACATGATGGAGTTAGATTAATAACATATGGCGGAAAACTTCAAATCTTTGGAAATTAACACACTTATAAATAACCCATGGCTCATGGGTTTTAATATCGCAGAGGGCATTTAAAAATATTTCTAACAGAATGATAAAAATAAAGGAAAGGAATTCAAGTGTAAGAATTTTCTAATATCATATATCTCAAGATAATAACAATGATTAAAATATACCTAAGATTTGCATAGCACTTTACAGTTTACATATATTCTGACATTTTATCTTAACAACCACTGTAGAGATGACGTTAATATACATGGATGTCACTCCAGTCCAGAGCAGTACATTAAACATCTCTACACTTTTAAGGAATGACTAAGAGGCCTGTCAGGCTGCTGGTCAACCCCCTGGGAGCATGATCTTGCCCTTCTACGCTGGCTTCCAGCCTTGTCCCATGCTCTCCCCCAATCAGTCCTCCCCCTTTCTGTGCCTGAGCCCGTTCTGTTACTTCCCTTGCAATGCATAATGATATTCAAGAACATTTGTGCATGAACTTGTATGTCTACCTAGCTGTTGGATAGTTTAAACAAAGGTTAGCTATCCCTACCCTCTCCTCCTCACTAAATAGGCTAGCACACATGCAGGCCTTCTCAGTGCAAGTCCAGTGCTTCTTCATGACAGGAAAACCTTGCTATTCGAACACATTTTGTACTGAGAAATTTAATTCCACTTAAAGTAGTGACCAAAATTTCATAGGAAGTAGTGAAAAAATGATTTAATATTGAAATAAGCCTGATATATGAAAGAGAAAAAATTATGAATTTAAGTTTATTTTATTTTATATACATTTTTAAAAATTGGGTGAAAATAATAGTTTTACACTAGTTGCTAGACCAAACAGCAAGTAAATCAAATGCCGGCTTTTGTGTATAAGTAGTATACGTGTAATTATGAACATATACAGGAGATATAATGTTTTTCACGTCATAAATGATTTCTGTAGCATGATCATAAGAAGGGCAAATATTTAAAAATAAATTTGAAGGCTTCGCTAGCCTTCCCAATGGTTCCTCTTAACTTTTGATATTAAATTATTCAACTCTAAAGTACATATTTGATCAAAATTCTGGCGTCTCACTTTTCTTCTTCACTTGTTAATCCTTTCAACTTTGTCTTTATCAGATTTTGGGGAAGAGTTGGGAAGTATGGTTCAAAAAGTTCACTAATTTCATGTTTATTAACAGCATAAAATCTAGCATCTTTTACAAGACGTATAATTTTCTGGCCGGGCACAGTGGCTCATGCCTGTAACCCCAGCACTTTGGGAGGCTGAGGCGGGTGGATCACCTGAGGTCAGGAGTTCGAGACCAGCCTGGCCAACATGGCAAAGCCCCATCTCTACTAAAAATACAAAAATTAGCCAGGCCTGGTGGTGTGTGCCTGTAATCCCAGCAACTCAGGAGGCTGAAACAGGAGAATTGCTTGAACCAAGGAGGAGGAAGTTGCAGCGAGTAGAGATCACGCCATTGTGCTCCAGCCTGGTCAACAGAGCAAGACTCCATCTCAAAAAAAAAAAAATTATACTTTTCTTTGGCAATTGTTTGTAATATATTTACATTATACTATTAAATGTCATCCATCAGATGATTTCAAATTAATTTTATATATGCTCATAGTGACCTCTGTAACAGTAGGCAGATGAATCATTAATATTTAGAAAACAAAGATCTCTTCCCCCTTTACTGCAACTACCTCAACAAGAAACATTCAATATAGAAGAAAAGTGTGTTTTAATTAAATTTTATATTATTAAATGAGTGCCATTTTAGGAGTTATGCAAGGAAACATGTTACAGCTAAAACTGCTTGTTCTTCTCTTTTTCTTGGGCACACACTTCAACTACCCTTCCCAGCCCTCTTGCAATTTGGTGGAGCCATGTGAAAAGTTCTCCTAATGGGATGTGAGCAGAGTGATGTAGGCCATTTCCAGGCTAAGGTAGAGAAGAACTGTGACTATCATCTACATCGTCTTGCTTCCCTATCTGCCAGCCAAATGCAAAGGATCTAGTAGAGGACCGCAAGACCCTAGAGAATGGTGGTTCTCTCTCTTAAGAAATAAATCTCTAGTAGGTTAAGATATTGAGATTTTAGAGTTTTTTGTTATAGCTTGGTATAGCAAGGTACCTCTGTTAATCCATCTTGAATAGCATATTGCATGAGTTCATTACACAGAATTATTGTGTCTATGTAGGATTACTGCTGAATGGGATAAATTTGTCCTCGAATTTGAAAGATTTTGAGCAGTTATAATAATTCCATTGAACAAAAATTTATTGAGTGCTTATTCTATGTTTAGCAGTACATTGAACATTGCAGAGGGTGTCTGGAGAGAAGATGCTGAAGGGAAGGATAAATTGTTATCTAATCCCACTTCTCACCACCTCACCACCAATATGTCTTTCCTGGACCATTGCTGGTACCTACTCACTGCTCTTCCCAAAACCACGCCAGCCTAAATGCGATCCATCTTCTAAATCACGCCACAGTGTTTTTTCCAAAGCTCCAATCTGATGGTGTAATACTCAGTTTAAAATCCTCAAGAGCTCAATCACCCCCAACTCCACCTTTGCTTTTGAGATAAAGTTCAATATAAATCAGGAACCCTGAGCAAAAACCTATAGATAGATATAGTTTATATATATATATAATATACACAAACACATATATTATGTACATGTTTATATATATAAAAACACTACATATATAAATTATAGTAATGCCAGCTGCTATAACAAATAAACCCAACATTTCAGTAACTTAACACTGTAAAAATTTATTGGCTCTCATGCAAAGTCCAGTTTAAGTGTCTATGACTGTGGGAGCTCCATGCAGTCATTCAGGGGCTCATGCTGATGGAGGCTCTGCCATTTCTGACAGGTGGCTTTGGAGGTTGCCCCAGATGTTGACATTTAGATGGTGCACAAAGAAAGAGTGTGGAGAATCACACATGGGAAATCAGTATGGACAAGGCCTGAAAATGGGCCACTTGACTTTTGTGAACCTTTCATTGGCTACATTTCACTCAGGTGACTGCACATAACTTAAAAGGAGACTGGGAAAACAGGCCATCTATAGCCCACATGAAAGAGGAAATGGATTGCTGAATATTTAGCCATCTCTTCTGGTTTTCAAACATTTGTTCTTTTTCTCATGCTCCCTCCCCAAGGGAGACAACTCAAAGCCTTACCCAGTCACTATGCTCAGCTCAACTGCAAGATCACAGGAGGTGGGAGAGACCACCCCACCCCCATGTGGCTTATGATAGTCCAAAGACCTATAATTTAAAAAGATAAATTATCTGCAAACCCTCACAATACACAATACACAGTGATCCAGTAGAGACCAAAGAAACCTCCCATTCATAAAAGGGAATACTGCGAGATGCACAACTAGCAAATTTGAAATCCTGCTACACACACATTGTGAACAGCTTTCCCCATGAGTACCCTTGGGGTTGTGGGGACTTTCTTGCTAGACCCTGATTCTAGCAAGAAGCAGCTTCCTTCTTCATTTTCCTCATGCCCTAGATCTGCACTCAAGGAGTCTCTTTCTTGTCCATAAACCTCTATGGCCATATCTGGGGAGACTATATCTTCCTTGGGCGATACACAGTTTTTGCAACCAGATTCTAGCTGCAAATTTCAGATCTCTGATGGCTGTATTGTGGTGTTTTGGTTTCATTCATTCTTAACACATTTATTAGGCATATATTCTGTGTGAAGCTCCATCTAGGTATTGGGTACAGTGGTTTAAGAAGACAAACAAGGTCCCTTTTTTCATGTATCTTACATTCTAGGTAAGGAAACAGACTGGAAGTTGTTTTAAAGTTCAAACAATCCAAACGTTTTCAGTCCTGGCTCACAGTTTCTTTGGCAATTCAAGCGCTTCAAAAATGTAGTACACTCACGTCATTACATAGTTCTGATCCTAAACATAGTTCTCAAATCTGTTTTTTGTTAGTTTGTATTCTAGGCCCAACGTCTTTCTTTTTAGCTAAGGGCAACTACTTTGAGGACATATGGAACAGACTCAGGTAGTAAGAAGGTCAAGGCGGTTTATCTGATCTTTGTATCTGGCTGAATAACTGTTCGATTACGGAAATTTCCTGGAACATTGTCAAAGTTCTTTCAGTTTCGTCTACCACTATGTGAGAGTCCAGCCCCATAACAGGGATCCTTTTGATTTCCTTTCATATTGACTTGAAAACCAGCCATTTCTTGTTTAAGCCTATTGTGATCATCTAATATCTTGCTAAACGCCATCTGTAGTGGCCAAAATGCTGACTTTTCCATCCACTTTTCCCAGAGCAGTAGTTCTCACAATTAGGTCCCCAGACCAACAGCATCTGTATCACCTGGAAAGCTGTTAGAAATGAAAATCCGGCTGGGTGTGGTGGCTCAAGCCTGTAACTCCAACACTTTGGGAGGCCAAGGTGGGTGGATTGCTTGAGCTCAAGAGTTTGAGACCAGCATGGACAGCATAGTGAGATCCTCCATCTCTACTAAACAAATACGAAAATTAGCCAGGTACAGTGGCACACACCTGTAGTTCCAGGTACTTGGGAGGCTGAGGCAGGAGAATCACTTGAGCCTGAGAGGTGGAAGTTGCAGTGAGCCGAGATCGCACCATTGCATACCAGCCTGGGTGATGGGAATGAAAAGGAAAACAAAAAAAGAGAAATGAAAATCCACAGTCCAGACCTATTGAATCAGACACTCAGGGTGTGGTACCCAGGAATTTGTGTATTTATAAGCCTTCCAGATGAGTCTCATGCATACTAATGCTAAGAACCATTGCTCCAGAGCAGGGAGTATATGTTTGTGGGTAGAATAACACAAAAACATACAGAGAAAGTGGGGCAACCAACCATTAGGTTAAGGTGATTAAATATCGGGATATTTTCAGACATAGAGAAAGTCAGTACGTTTCTTCCCCTGAACAAATTTTTAGGTAACGATCATAGGCCCTTTAAGGATAAGCTTATTTTTCTTTCTTTTTAACTTTTATTTAAGTTCAGGGGTACGTGTGCAGGTTTGTTACATAGGTAAACTTGTGTCGTGGGGATCCGTGGTACAGATTATTTCATTACCGATACCGATTAGTTATTTTTCCTGATCCTCTCCCTCTTCCTTCCTTGTACTCTCTGATAGGCCCCAGGGTGTGTTGTTTCTTTCTACGTGTTTGTGTGTTCTCATCATTTACCTCCCACTTCTAAGTGGCGGTATTTGGTTTTCTGATCCTATGTTAGTTTGCTAAGGATAATGGCCTCTAGCTCCATCCACGTCCCTGCAAAGGACATGATCTTGTTCTTTTTTATGGCTGCATAATATTCTATGGTGCATATGTACTACATTTTCTTTGTCCAGTCTATCATTGATGGGCATTTAGGTTGATTCCATGTCTTTGCTATTGTGAATAGTGCTGCAATGAACATATGCGTGCATGTGTCTTTATAACAGAACAATTTATATTCCTTTGGGTATATACACAGTAATGGGATTGCTGGGTAGAATGATCACCTCATTTTGAGTCCTGAATCAGCCATCTCATACATTAGGTCCAAACTCACCCTTTGTAGTGACCCAAGCCAATAAGGTCCCTCTATGCTCAAACAAATTTGAGTTGAGTCCTGACATAGATAACCTTGGTCAACTGCTTGACTTCTTTACTGATGCAGCTTAGCATTAATTCCTAAACATTCTTCTATATCTCTGCTAGAGTAGAAAGAGAGAGGGAAGAGAGATTTCTTTCAGTATGAAGCAGTAAATCTTTCTCATACTTTGCTTTTTGTACATTGCTTTATGGTTTAAAAACACATGCATTTGAAGTACAGATAAATCAAAACAGAAAATGGAAACATAAGAAACTCCATTTTAAGAAATCACCATCTACTGTGTCATTAAGTCTTATAAAAATTTTTCTGCCATTGATAATTTTGGTGTCTCACCCAGACACCCAGTTGATGTAAATGTTGGCTGTTCATAGTTCATAGATGTATCCTTCTCTGGAGAGCTGTCCTTGGCTGTGGGAGCCGCCTCACCCACAATGCCCTGGGAAATGGTGGCTTCTCCTACAAAGAGCCCCCAGTTAGTAGCCAATATGGTGAATTTTTAAAAGCCCAGCCCCCTTGCTTTAAGGGAAGACAGCTCTGTGGTGCTGCTCTTGCTCCAGAGCTCCCTGCAGGAACAGGCTGAGGCTACCCTTTAGCTGAAAGTGATCCTATCTGGTTTCTTTCTGGTGCTATCTGAGTTGTTCCTGAGAACATCTCAGATTTCGCCTCTACAGAATCCTAGCTAAGGCATCATCATTAGCGCCTTCATACTCTATATTCATCTTTTCATTTTTATTCCTACTGAAACTACTCTCAGCATTCTATCTCTCATGGTGAGAGTTAGCTAGAGTTAGCTCTAGCCTTTCCTGTATAGAATAGTCAGTTTTAGCATTTACATCCCTACTAAAAATGCTTTTGAAGAACTTGGCGGCTGGGCATGGTGGCTCATGGCTGTAATCCCAACACTTTGGGAGGCTGAGGTGGGTGGATCACTTTGAGCCCAGGAGTTTGAGACCAGCCTGGCCAACATGGCAAAACCCCATCTCTACAAACAATACAAAAATTAGCCAGGCATGGTGGTGTGCACCTGTAGTCCCAGCTAATCAGGACGCTAAGGTGGGAGGATCAGTTGAGCTCGGGAGGTTGAGGCTACAGTGAGCCATGATTATGTCAGCCTGTGTGACATAGGTTGTCTCAAAAAAAAAAAAAAAATACAAAAACAAACTTGGCTCTGCTTAAAGGTTTCTGTAAAACCCTCCTGAATACTCACCTCTATCTCCCACACACCCCCAGATTTTAAGCATTCTGCTTTGACCCTCACAATGTTCTGCTTTATAGTAGTTAGCCTTTTGCAAGCCTGTCTTATTTGAGAAGAGTTTGTGTATCTTTCATCCATGTGTCCCTAAAGCATTTTTCAAAATTTTCCCCTCAGGATGCACACCAATAAATGCACTGGTGAGGATATCTTAGCTACAGCCTTAGAGCCCTTTAAATGCCCCCTGCTTGGCTGGGCTTGGTGACTCATGCCTGTAATCCTAGCCCTCTGGGGAGAATTACTTCAGGCCAGTAGTTGGAGACCAGCCTGGGAAACATAGCGAGATGCTGTCTCTACAAAAAATTTCAAAATCAGCCAGACGTGGTGACACATACCTATAGTCCCAGCTAGCTACTTGGGAGGCTGAAGCAGGAGGACCACTTGAGCCCAGGAGTTTGAGGCTGCAGATCACGCCACTGCACTCCAGCCTGGACATCAGAGTGAGACACTGTCTCTAAAAATAAAAATAAAAATAAATAAATAAATAAGCAAATCCCCCTGGTGCACAGCAGGGCTGGCACAACAGCCTAGAGCAGAACAGAAGGATGAGGAGAGATTAATTCACCCCAAGTGACTATGGAGATTGTGGAAGCAAAGGGGACAGGGAAAGGGGTAAATTGAAGGGAAGCCCAGATTTGCATGAGTGTAACAATATATTCATAAACAGAGAAGGCTTTGATTGTATGGGAAGAGGGGAGGCAGGTCTTTTCCTGGGCCAATCAGATAGTAGGAATGTGGTGGTGGTAGGTATAGCTGCTGGTGTACTTATTATATAGTCATAATGCACTAAGGTCCCAGTCAGGGTAAGGTTCTAGATAAAAGGCGCTATGATCTCAAGGCAGGTGGGGCCAGCTGGAGACAAGAGGTACTGGCATGGCTCCCTATCTTATTTTTCCATGAGTTTTCAAGGTCAATACAAGGTGGGAGACCACTCTCCATAAGAGGATGTCATTCTGTGTTGTAACTCATAAAAAGAATATGTCATTAGTGTGTATAACTTCTACTTGTGTCTGAACTTCCCCTTTTCCCAACAAGCAGGGGCAAGAGGTCCCTCCCGCATATTCCTAGTAGTGATTAATCAGGGAACTGGCATTTTGGACACATGGGCTGGGCAATTTGGCATCTTTTTTTTTTTTTTTTTTGAGACAGAGTTTCACTCTTGTTACCCAGGCTGGAGTGTGATGGTGCAATCTCAGCTCACTGCAACCTCTGCCTCCCGAGTTAAGCGATTCTCCTGCCTCAGCCTCCCAAGTAGCTGGGATTACAGGCGTGCACCACCACACCTGGCTAATTTTGTATTTTTAGTAGAGACGGGGTTTCACCATTTTGGTCAGGCTGGTCTTGAACTCCCAACCTCAGGTGATCTGCCTGCCTTGGCCTCCCAAAGTGCTGGGATTACAGGCATGAGTCACCACACCCGGCCCACTTTTTAAAATCCTATCTTGACTTGGAAGTATATTTCTTCACAGCCATGCCTTTGATTATAAGTTACATCATTACATTATTTTATGTACAGTAGCCCTCTTATTCATGATTTCAGTTTCAGTTACCTATGTTAAACCATGATCCAAAAATATTAAAGGAAAATTTCCAGAAATAAAAATGTATAAGTTTTAAATTTCACACCATTTTGAGTAGTGTGATGAAATTTCTGCCTATCCTACTCCATCATGCCCAAGACATGAATCATTCCTTTGTCCAGTGTATCCATACTGTACATGCTACCTGCCCATTGGTCACTTAGAAGCCGTCTCAATTATCACATCAACTGTGGAGGTATCACAGTGCTTTTGTTCAAGTCACTCTTATTTTACTTAATAATGACCTGAAAGCACAAGAGTAGTGAGGCTGACATATTGTTATAATTGTTATATTTTATTACTAATTATTGTTTTTAATCTTACTGTGCCTGATTTACAAATTAAACTTTATCATAGCTATGTATGTTTAGAAAACAACATACTATATACAGAATTCAGTATTATCCATGACTTTCAGGGGTCCTGGAACATATTCCCTGTGGATAAGCAGGAACTACTGTATCCTTAAGGGAAAAGAAATGTGGGCGGTGAGATTTTATGACATCATTGTTGTTAGTACATTCTAATTTCATAGCTATTAAAATGTGACAATATATATCTTACAACCAATATAATGCAGAAATATCTAGACTTTGGTTAAGAACTCCAGCTTTGGAAACTAATTTTGATTCAAGGTTCAAATTTTGGCTCTGCCATTTATTAGTTGAGTGATCTTGCAAAATTTACCTCATTTTTCAGAATGAAATAGAAAATTGTGAGCCTTTAAAATCACAGGGCCATTGAGAGTATTGGATGAGTCAATACAGGCAGGACGCTCACCATAGTGGACAACGGCGCATAGTAAGAGAGGGTGAAGACATTTTGGTTGCCAATCCAACAGCCTTTCTTTTCTCTCTTCCTCATTAACTGAATGCCAATGTTATTTACCTGCTTCAGAGGAACAGCCTGTTAAAAAGTCCAGGTTTCTCCTAAACACAGAGGGAGAAATCATAATTTGTGTAAGCCAATCAGAGTTGTTTTATCTCTTGTCAAGTGATTGGTTTAGACATTAGTATGTGATGTAATTTTGGCCAATGGGATATGATGGGAAGTGTCTTGTGAGGACTTTAATAGAGGGATGCATCATGGGAATATTTTGGAAGTTGTCATCTGCATAGGATTGCCATCTTGGTGCTATGAAGGTGCAACACAACCATTATGACAGAACAGAAACAAAGAAGCCCTTGGATTCTTTTTTTTTTTTTTTTTTTTTTTTGGTATAACAGCCATTTTTTTTTTTTTTTTTTAGACAGAGTTTTGCTTATGTTGCCCAGGCTGGAGTGCAGTGGCGTGATCTTGGCTCACCTCAACCTCCACCTCCCGGGTTCAAGCAATTCTCCTGCTTCAGCCTCCCAAGTAGCTGGGATTACAGGCATGCACCACCATGCCTGGCTAATTTTTGTATTTTTAGTAGAGACGGGGTTTCTCCATGTTGGTCAGGCTGGCCTTGAACTCCCAGACTCAGTTGATCCGCCCTCCTCAGCCTCCCAAAGTGCTGAGATTACAGGTGTGAGCCACCACACCCAGCCTGCCCTTGGATTCTTGAGAGATACTAATGAACCACTGGGAACCATACCTGTAATCTCCTTCCTCTAGGCTTCTTGCACAATAAGTAGTGAAAGACATCATTAAAGCAACTTCAGTTGAATTTTCTATTATTTGTTGCAAAAAAGGCTTGAAACTGATGCAGTGTTTAGTGGCTATGAGCTCCTAACTATTTCTGCTACTGTTGTTAGTGCTTACTTTACCATCTGTTCCTAAGTTTCCTCATCTAACACGTGGGGAATAAAAAGATATTTGCTTTTGAAAATTGTCAATAGGATGGATGAGATAATGCATATAGAGAGCTTAGTCCATTGGCTAGCCCAAAGAAAGCATTTAATGAAGTGTAGCTTTTCCTCCTATTATTATTTTGTTGTTTTAGTGCCACTATTTAGGACAATGTTGTGGAATGTATTATTTTTTCACAACCCTATCTTTTCTCTGAGGTCACTTTTAACAGAATATACTTTTATATTCTGTTAAATTCACTTTTAACAGAATATACTATTCTACAACTTACTGACTTTGGGCTTGGCCATGTGTCTTGCTTTGGTCAATGGAGTGTGAGAAGATATAATCTATACCTTGGCTGTCCAAAGGTTTTGAATGTGCTCGTATAGTTCTGCTTGCTCTCTTGTATTTCTGCCATTTTCCTTGAGGAGAACATGTGCCAAGTAGTCTCTATTTCTTCATCCTGGGCCCTTGAATGAGAGGCATATGGAGAAGATCTAAATCCAATCTGTAGCCTGAAGCAGAGCTGGCTCAGCTAACCTACAGTTGACGGTCCAGGAAGCTGCTGCGGGAAAAGAATCTCAACAGAAACATAAATTTTCCTTTGAGTCACTGAGACTTGGGAATTGTTTGTTATATAGCTATTACTGCCATGAAAAAAAATACTTGACTAATACAGTCAAAAAAAGAGAAAATACAAATTGAGCTTCAGAGTCTTCCCCAAATTTATTGCTTGGTCCAGGGAGACTTGTGACATCTGGGATAGGTCCTGAAACAGTAGAAGAGCTGATCGGACCAGTGGATTCTGGGCCCTGCTGATGATCTTCTAAGAGGTGAAAGGCTCAGGCTACTAAAGAGAACTCCTCTTTGCATAATTTAACTGACATGTATGGGCCAGATTCTTCCTACTTGATGTTTCTTCAGGGCTCCCACTGATGGTAATTGAGACACAGTTGGCTAAGATTGGCTTGGGAGGAGGGGAATAGTTTGGACACCATCAGAGGCATCTTTTGATTAAGCTGTGTAGAACGTAAATTACTTCGAGGGAAGTGAGTTTAAGAAACTGGAACTAGAGCCAGTGCAGAGGATAGAAGGAAGTCGGCTGGTGAGAAACAGGAATGGGAGACTAGGACAAGAAGAACCAAAGCTACAAAGCATGAGAAAGACAGAAGAGCAAGCAGCCAGATGCTCCATAATCGCACATTGGAAAAAATCCAGAGCCGAGTACTGAGTGGAGGTCAGTTCTGGAAAATAGGTAAGGCCAGGAGTGCAGCAAAAACAAAACAAACAAACAAACAAAACAACAACAACAACAAGAAGCGTTTGTCAGGGTCAAAGCCATGGCCCATTTGTTTTAAGCCACTGAGGCTGGATAAAACCTACTTTTGAGTAAGTACTGGAGCCAAGAAATTGGGTGGATGGATCGTTAGTGTCCCAGGTGTCACAGGACAATGAGACTCTTCACTCTGGTTATCTGGCTGCTACCCCCATACCTCTGGGACTCCATTTCGGAATTTCTTATCCTGGTTCTCTGAAAAACTAAGCCTGCCTTAAGCCTCAAAGTCGCAGTGGAGTCCATGGTTCCTGGCACTGCTGTCTGCTTGTCTGGATGTCTGCACATTGGCTATTACCAGATTCCTCTCCTGTCTGCCAGGACTCCCAGTGGCTTCCTCTTGCTGGGCCTCCCCTACACTCACCTTTGGAGGAGCTAGGCCCCTGACTTCCACCTGCCACCAAGCCTTCCCCCACCATGCTCCACCTCCCACTTTGCTGTGGCTCACCCAGGAGCATCCACAATGTTCAGCCTGGTCCTCAGTTTCTGACTGTTCCTCCCAGGTCTTGCTGTGCTCCACTGCCCAAGGTCTGGCATACATGTGGGCTGGAGAAATGCTTATAGCCTCCTTGGGTGACCTTCTTTACTTAAATTTCTGATCCCTGAAATTATCCTTTTATAGATATGGTCCTTTGGTTCACATTAAAATATAAATTCCCTGTGGGAGAGACCCTATTAAGCCTTGCAGGGAATTGCTAATTTACATCTTAATGTGAATGAGGTTATTGGATTTTTTCCCCCCTTAAAGCAATCCTTGATGGAGGTAGGGGGAAAATAGAGAAACCATGATTATCAGATAATAATTAAAAAATGGCTACAGAGACAGGGAAAGGAAACAAAAGAGGAAATTTGGGTTCATGGCTTTTTGTAAGGCGTTCAGTGTGGATAATTGTTCCAGATGCTTCTTTTGACCTTGATGGGTAAAGGTTTTGTTTTGTTATGCTTTGTCTTATTTGAAATTTAACTCTTACTGCATTATTTCTATATGGAGTGATGCAAAGCAAAAGGATTAATGGTAAATATAAATGTGCCCTTAAAATGAAAATCGGTCTGCATAGGGAAGATGCATAGGATGATAGATATAAATGAATCACAAAACTGTCTGACTATTGTGTAGGCTGTAGCTAAAGCAACCCAAGAAAGTAGATTTCTCTAAGGAGACTGATCTCTCTGCTGTGATATGACAGTGGGTATGGTCCTAAGTGTGCATTTTCAGAAACTCAGTTTTGCTGGCACATGCAAATAGATCAGCCTCAAAGGATTGACTCATAGCTCTCAAGCTCACAAGAGTATGATGAGAGACCTTTCTAGCTTGCATAATATTATTTTATACATTGTCAGTGCACCTTCTCCTAGTATCAGGATCATTGGGAAGCCAATTCAGTAGCAAGATGGCAGTCTGCTGGAAATGAGTGTGAACCACTTTATTTCTCATTCTCAAAACAATCCACAAGCTAGTTATTTTCATTATCTCCCTGTTGCAGATGGGTAAATGAGGCTCCAAGAATTTATGTGTTTACCCCAAGTCATCAGGCTAGAAAGGCCTGAGCTGGATTTAGACCCAGGCAAGTGAGTCAGTAAAACAAAACTATGTGGTCTTGGGCTACATGGAAGAACTGAGGGAGGTAGCCATTATCACCATGTGGCTCCTGAGCGCTTGAAATATGACTAGTATGACTAAAGAACTAAAGCTCAAGTTGTATTTATTTCTAATACATTTAATTTAAATAGTCATCTATAGCTAGTGACTTCTACACTGGACAGGATACCTCTAGATGCCTGCTTAGAGAAATCCAAAAGTGGAGAGAGATTTTTTTTTTATAAGAAGCCTTTGTCATACAACATCCATGAATCTTAAATATTATTGTCCCCACTTTTGAGATGAGAGCACTGATATTCAGAGAGAATAATTGATTTGCCCAAGATTTTACAGCTGGGAGAAGAATCTAGGTCAAAGACACCAAAACCCCAACTTTTTCAAAGAATCTGGACTGCTCCATAATGCATGTAACCATGCGCCTATAGTTGGACATTTAGGTTCATTTCAATTTATTTTTCAGAATTCATCTTTCACTGAAATGAATATTTCAGTATATAAGTAATTGTCCCTGAAATGAATTATATATTTTGAAGAGTCTACTCTAAGTGAATTTATAGTGACAGAGTATATAAGTATTACAAATAATTTCCAGGAATATTTACACTTCCCTTAGCCAGGCTACAGTGTTTGTTTCATCTGCTGTAAGTGTGGTCATTTAAGGAGGCCTTTGCTAATTCAGTCATTGAAAGATATTATATTGTTTTAGATTTTTATATTTATTAATTACCATAAGTGAAGCTGGACATTTTTCTCTTATTTCTTCTGTAAATTAGCTGTTCCTGACCTTTTTTGAGACCATAACATTTTTTTCCCATTGAGGCCTCCTAGGTGGATTATAGATCTTCAAAAGCTACAAACTGTCAGAAAAGTGTATTTGGGATAAATCAGACCTCTCCTTCGGCTGTTTTCTTCTTGTATTCAGAGGAATAACTTTTTAAAAGGAGTCACTTTGGAAGGTTGAATGGCCAGCTGCCCAAATGTGCAGGAACCGTTAACAATTTTACTATTCCTAGGCTTCTAAGAACAAGGAAGTTCTTAAGAAGCTTGTGGGTATACAAAATGAAAACCGAATGATAATAATAAATTAATGATCAGTGATTCTATGACATCATGATTAAAAATGAGCTCCCCTACACTTTTACGCTGCTGGTGGGAATGCAATTTAGGTTTCCATAGCGGTACAACCACTATGGAAAACAGTGTGGAGATTCCTTAAAGATCTAAAAGCTGAACTACCATTCCATCCAGCAATCCCACTACTGGGTATCTACTCAAAGGAAAAGAAGTCATTATATGGAAAAAACACACGTACATACGTATTTATAGCAGCACGATTTGCAATTGCAAAGATATGGAACCAACCTAAGTGCCCATCAACCAAGGAGTGGATAAAGAAAATTTGGTACATACACACCATGGAATACTACTCAATACTACTCATAAAAAGGAACAAAATAATGTCTTTTGCAGCAACTTGGATGGAATCTGGAGGCCATTATTCTAAATGAAGTAACTCAGGAATGGAAAACCAAATATGGTATGTTCTCACTTATCAGTGAGGGCTAAGCTAGGAGGATACAAAGGCATAAGAATGATGCAATGGACTTTGGAGACTCAGGGTGGGGGAAAGGCTGGGAGTGGGGTGAGGGATAAAAGACTACATCCTGGGTACAGTGTACACTGCTTGGGTAACAGGTGTACTAAAATCTCAGAAATTACCAATGAAGAACTTATCCACATAACCAAAAACCACCTTTACCTCCCAAAACTATTGAAATAAATATTTTTAAAAAATTTAAATAAACTATGTTAGTATATTTTGTAACCCAAGAATTATCTCCGATAGGTCTCAATCAATTTAGAAGTTTATTTTGCCAAGGTTAAGGACAATGTCTGAGAGAAAAACAAACGACAACAACAACAACAACAAATCAGGGAAACCCAGAAACTGTCTAGGGTCCGTGCCTTTTTCCAAAGATGACTTTGAGGGCTTCAATATATAAAAGGGAAAAGTGGGCTGGAAGGGAAAGAGGGAAGGTAGCATCATCCACATATTTCAAGAGAAAAGCAGCCGGTGGAGGTATCATCAATTATGCATTTGCCTTGTGCTCAGTGAATGGGCACTTTACGTAAGATAAGGTGAACAGAGTCGCTACCTATGGAGATATTTTACCTGTAGCTAACTGCTTAAGAACAAAAGGAAAGGCAGGTTCTTGCATGACTCAGCTTTCCGTTTAATTTTTTCCTGTTGGCATAGTGAATTGAGGTCCTGAGCTTTTAATTCCTCTCACAATTAAATGTGTATTTAGATCCTTAACTCCTTAGCAGATCAACCTGGGAACAGAGAAATTTAGTAGCTTAAAAGACGCTGCCACTTGAAGATGAATAAGGCAGAAGATAAAACAGCTCTAAAGAAAAGATATGATTTGACAGTAAAAAAGAAATTCAAATTTCATAAAATGTCAGGAATATATCACTAAGTGAGTTACACCTATGCATTGAAATTTGATGATGACGGTAGGTGTGGGGTTAAGAGCTAATTAGTGAATCTTAAGTAATCATTATCTGTAAAATGAAAAGCAATAAGAAACTGGAAAAGTTAGTCTTTTTCCATTTGCTTCTCAATTGTATCAACATGAAGTATTAGTTTGGGCCCCACTGGTCATCACCTTGCTCAAACTTGTTTCTTTTTTTCAAGAATAAATGCTGTCTGGCCAGGTGCAGTGGCTCACACCTGTAATTCCAGCACTTTGGGAGGCCAAGGCGGGCAGATCACCTGAGGTCCGGAGTTCGAGACCAGCCTGGCCAACATGGCGAAACCCCGCTTCTACTAAAAATACAAAAATTAGTCAGGCGTGGTGGTGGGCACCTGTAATTCCAGCTGCTCAGGAGGCTGAGGTAGGAGAATCGCTTAAACCCAGGAGGCGGAGGTTACAGTGAGCTGAGATCTTACCACTGCGCTCCAGCCTGGGTGACAGAGTGAGAGTCCGTCTCAAAAAAAAAAATAAATAAATAAATAAATTCTGTTTATTTAAATTTCATTTCATTTATCATGGGTTTCTCTGCATTCATTTTTATTTTTTAATTACAGCAGTCCCCTTTTATCAGCAATTTCACTTTCCTCGGTTTCAGTTACCCTTGGTCAACCACAGTTTGAAAATATTACATTATTTTGGAGAGAGAAAGAGACAGAGGGACAGGAAGAGACCACATTCACATAACATCTATGGCAGTATATTTTTACAGTTGTTCTATTTTATTATTGTTGTTGTTAATTTCTTAACAACAATCTGTGCCTAATTTATAAATTAAACTTTTTCATAAGTATGTATGTCTAGAATAAAATCATAGCATATATAGGGTTCAGTACTATCTGCAGTTTCAGGTATTCATTGGAGGTCTTGTAGGGGGGACTGCTATATTGCATTAAAGCATTAGTCATTTTGATTACTGAGTGTTTTGGCAGCTCTGTAAATTTTGTGTCTCGGGCAAATGCCTCACTTGCCCTAGTCCTGGCCATTCCCTGGGTGGGAAACATTTCTTGATCAGCAACCTGTCCATGGGATCTGTGAACTCTGACCTCTGAAGCTTCTTCCTATTCCATCATCCTTTTCAGCCACATTTGAAATTGACATTTGGGAAAAGACTCTCCTCAGGTTGCTTTATACCTGAAATAGTCACAGGTTTATCTGATCTTAGCAATTCTTCCCCCAAACCTAGCAGGCTTATGACCTAATTGCCTGCAATCCGTTCCATGTGACCAATGACCAAAATCAAGGTCTTGGTTATTATTCTGAAGCCCTATTTGCTTCACTGACTCAGATGCCATGTCTCATTTTCAACTTAATGGGGCTTACCTTATGGGTATGGGGGTTCAGTAAGAAGGCTACCCACTTACTCTTATCTTTGCCTTGAGTCATTTTATCCAACTGAACAGTTTTACTCAAAACCATACCCCTAGGCACTGAAAAGTTTTACTCAAAACCATACCTCTAGGCCGGGTGTGGTGGCTCACGCCTGTAATCCCAGCACTTTGGGAGGCCGAGGTGGGTGGATCACCTGAGGTCAGGAATTCAAGACCATCCTGCACAACATGGTGAAACCTTGTCTCTACTAAAAATACAAAAATTAGCTGGGTGAGGTAGCATGCATCTGTAATCTTACCTACTCAGGAGACTGAGACATGAGAGTTGCTTCAACCCTGGAGGTGGAGGTTGCAGTGAGCCAAGATCATCGCGCCACTGCACTCCAGCCTGGGTGACAGAGTGAAACTTCATCTGAAAAAAAAACAAAAAACATACCCTTAGTCTGTTTGCCTTGATGTCTTTTAATCAACTGAAAGTTTATCCTGCTATTTTGTTACATCAATCTTTTATTTTTTTTAATTCCATCTCTTTCTTTAGGAACTGGAAGCAGAGGGCTTTACCAAAATTACGAGGTCCTGAATTTCTAGAATCTCCGTTTCCTCTCATTTTTACTTGCAAGTTGGCAATTGTTTCTTGAGCTCATTGCTTTCTTGTAGCACCTGCGCCAAATGCAGCCAACTGCAATCAACTCCTGAAGTTTTCATCCTCTTCTCCAAGAGCTACCAGTTTATTAGGCTCATACGACTCCTGTGTTATACAGAAAATGGCTGTGAAAGATATTCCCATCCTAATCCCTGGAACCTGTGAATATGTTATTTTACATGGCAAAAGGGAATTAAGGCCAGGCACGGTGGCTCACACCTGTAATCCCAGCAGTTTTGGAGGAAGGGGCGGGTGGATAGTCTGAGGTCAGGAGTTCGAGACCATCCTGGCCAACATGGCAAGACCCCTGCCTCTACTAAAAATACAAAAGAAAATTAGCTGGGCATGGTGGTGCACACCTGTAGTCCCAGCTGCTTGGGAGGCTGAGGCAGGAGAATCACTTCAACCTGGGAGGCGGATGTTGCAGTGAGCCAAGATTGCACTACTGCACTCCAGCTTGGGCAACAGAGCGAGACTCCGACTCAAAAAAAAAAAAAAAAAAAAAAAGGTGGCAGGGCGGGGAGGGGGGGAATTAAGGCTGTGGACAGATTAAGGTGGCTGATCAGCTAACCTTAAAATAGGGAAATTATCTAGGTGGTCCCAATCTAATGGCATGAGTTATTTAAGAGCAGAGGCGTAAAAGTCAGAGGGATTCCACACAGAAAGGGTAAGTCAGAGAAAACAACATAAAAAGAATACACAGGCACGCCTCAAAGATATTGTGGATTTGACTCTAGACCGGCAGTCCCCAACTTTTTTGGCACCAGAGACCGGTTTCGTGGAAGACAGTTTTTCCTCAGACCCAGGCAGTGGAAGAGCTGGGATGGTTTTGGGATGATTCAAGCACATAACATTTATTTTGTACTTTATTTCTATTATTATTACACTGTAATATATAATGAAATAATTATGCAACTCACCTTAATATAGAATCAGTGGGAGCCCTGAACTTGTTTTCCTACAACTAGACAGTCCCATCTGGGGGGTAATGGGAGACAGTGACAGATCATCAGACATTAGATTCTCATAAGGAGTGCACAACCTAGATCCCTCCCATGAGTAGCTCACAATAGGGTTCGCACTCCTGTGAGAATCTAATGCCACGGCTGATCTGACAAGAGGTGGAGCTCAGGCAGTAATGCTCCTTTGCCTGCAGCTCACCGCCTGCTGTGCAGCCTGGTTCCTAACAGTTCCTAAGATATCAGTTGGTGGCTCCTGGGGTTGGGGACCCCTGCTCTAGACCACCACAATAAAACAAATATCACAATAAATTGAGTCACGCAAATTTTTAAATTTCTCAGTGCATATAAAATTTGTACACAACACTGTAGTCTATTAAGTTCACAAAAGAATTATGTCTGAAAAAATGTACATACTTTAATTAAAAATACTTTATTGGTAAAAATACTAATGATTATTGGAATCTTCTGAGACCCATAATCTTTTTGCTGGTGGAGAGTCTTGCCTCAATGTGGATGGCTGCTGATTGATCAGGTTGGTAGTTGCTGAAGGAAGGCTGTGGTGGCTGTGGCAATTTTAAAACAAAATACAACAATGAAATCTGCCTCATTGATTGATTCTTCCCTCACAAATGTTTTATGTGAGGAGGCAACGCTACTTGTTAGCATTTTACCCACAGTAGAACTTCCTGTAAGAATTGGAGTCAATCCAAAGGTCTAATATCCAGCATCTACAAGGAACTTAAACAAATTTACAAGAAAAAAACAAACAACCCCATTAAAAAGTGGGCAAAGGACATGAACAGACACTTCTCAAAAGAAGACATTTATGTGGCCAACAAACATATGAAAAAAGCTCAACATCACTGATCATTAGAGAAATGCAAATCAAAACCACAATGAGATTTTCATAATCATCAGTCAGAATGGCAATTATTAAAAAGTCAAGGAACAACAGATGCTGGTGAGGCTGTGGAGAAATAGGAATGCTTTTACACTGTTGGTGGGAATGTAAATTAGTTCAACCATTGTGGAAGACAGTATGGCAATTCTTCAAGTATCTAGAACAAGATATATCATTTGACCCTGAAATCTCATTACTGAGTGTATACCCAAAGGAACATAAATCATTCTATTATAGACACATGCACACATATGTTCACTGCAGCACCATTCCACAATAGCAAAGACATGGAATCAACCCAAATGCCCATCAATGATAGATTGGATAAAGAAAATGTGGTACATATACACCATGGAATACTATGCAGCCATAAAAAGGAATGAGGTCGTGTCCTTTGCAGAGGCATGGATGGAGCTGGAAGCCATAATTCTCAGCAAACTAACACAGAAGCAGAAAACCAAACACCACATGTTTCCACTTATAAGTAGGAGCTGAACAATGAAAACACATTGACACAGGGAGAGAAACAACATGCACTGGGGCCTGTCAAGGGGCCAGTGGGAGGGAGAGCATCAGGATACACAGTTAATGGATAGGTTGATAGTGCAGCAAACTATTACTGCACACATTTACCTACGTAGCAAATCCTGCACGTGTATCCCGTGCAGCCCGTGTGAACAGATGTGCTGTTGTCTAGGCTTTGTTGTTTCACTTACAGAGCACAGGGAGAGATTTAACATAATTCTTTTTTTTTTTTTTGAGATGGAGTCTCGCTCTGTTGCCCAGGCTGGAGTGCAGTGGTGTGATCTTGGCTCACTGCAAGCTCCACTTCCCAGGTTAAAGCCATTCTCCTGCCTCAGCCTCCCGAGTAGCTGGGACTACAGGCACCCGCCACCACATCCAGCTAATTTTTCGTATTTTTAGTAGAGACGGGGTTTCACTGTGTTGGCCAGGATGGTCTCAATCTCTTGACCTCGTGATCTGCCGGCCTCGACCTCCCAGAGTGATGGGATTACATGTGTGAGCCACCGTGCCTGGTCCATAATTCTTAAAAGCCCTTAAAAGCCGTAGGATATGCAAATCCTGCATATCCTGCATATGTATCCCAGAACTTAAAATTAAATTAAAAAAAAAAAACTGCAGTCAATCCTCTCAACCCTGCCACTGCTTTATCAACTGACTTTATGGAATATTCTAAATCCTTTGTTGTCATTCCAACAATGTTCACAGCATCTTCATCTGCAGTAGATTTCATCTCAAGGAAATACTTTTTGTGCTCATCCGTAAGAAGCAACTGCTTATCTGTTCAAGTTTCATCATGAGATTGCAGCAATTCAGTCATATCTTTGGGAACCACTTCTAATTCCAGCTTTCTTGCTGTTTCCATCAGATCTGCAGGGACTTCTTCCAATGAAGTCTTAAACCCTCAGTCATTCATAAAGGTCGGAATGAACTTCTTCCAAACTCCTGTGAATGTTGATATTTTTACCTCTTCCCATGAATCACAGATGTTCTTAATGGCATCTAGAATGGCAAATCCTTTTCAAAAGGTTTTCAATTTACTTTACCCATATTCATCAGAGGAATCACTAATTATGGCAGCTGTAGCCTTACAAAATGTATTTCTTAAATAATAAGACATGAAAGTTGAAATGACTCCTTGATCCCTGGGCTGCAGATTAGATGTTGCATTAACAGGCATGAAAACAATATTAATCTCTTTGTACATCCCCATCAGAGCTCTTGGGTGACCAGGTGCACTGTCAATGAGTAGCAATATTTTGAGAGGAATCTTTTTTTCTAAACAGTGGGTCTCAACAGTGGGCTCAAAATATTCAGTACACCATGCTGTGAACAGATGTGCTGTTTGTCTAGGCTTTGTTGTTTCATTTACAGAGCACAGGGAGAGATTTAACATAATTCTTTTTTTTTTTTTTGAGATGGAGTCTCGCTCTGTTGCCCAGGCTGGAGTGCAGTGGTGTGATCTTGGCTCACTGCAAGCTCCGCCTCCCAGGTTAATGCCATTCTTATGCCTCAGCCTCCCGAGTAGCTGGGGACTACAGGCACCCGCCACCACACCCGGCTAATTTTTTGTATTTTTAGTAGAGATGGGGTTTCACCATGTTGGCCAGGATGGTCTCAATCTCCTGACCTCATGATCTGCCTGCCTCGACCTCCCAGAGTGATGGGATTACAGGCATGAGCCACTGCACCTGGTCCATAATTCTTAAAAGCCCTAGTATTTTGTTTTGTTTTGTTCTGAGACAGAGTCTTGCTCTGTCACCCAGGCTGGAGTGCAGTGGTGTGATTTCGGCTCACTGCAACCTCTGCCTTCCATGTTCAAGCAATTCTTCTGCCTCAGCCTCCTGAGTAGCTGAGACTACAGGCACACCCAGCTAATTTTTGTATTTTTAGTAGAGATGGGGTTTTGCCATGTTGGCCAGGCTAGTCTCGAACTCCTGACCGCAGATGATCCACCCACTTCGGCTTCCCAAAGTGCCGGGATTACAGCAGTGAGCCACCACGCCTGGCCTAGCCCTAGGATTTTTGAAATGGTAAATAAACATTGGCTTCAACTTAATGTCACCTGCTGCATTAACTTCAAATTTTGCAGCTTCTTCACCTCTCTGTCATAGGATGAAGAGAATTAGGGCCTTGCTCTGGGTTAGGTTTTGGCTTAAGGGGAATATTTGGGCTGGTTTGATCTTCTGTCCAGACCACACAAACTTTCTCCCTATCAGCAATAAGGCTGTTTTGGTTTCTTAACATTTGTGTGTTCGCTGGAATAGCACTTTTAATTTCTTTCAAAAATTTTTCCTTTGCATTCACAACTTAGCTAACTGTTTGGTGCAAGAGGCCTCACTTTCAGCCTATCTCTGCTTTTGACATGCCTACCTCACTCAGCTTCATCATTTCTAGTTTTATATCAAATGTGACAGACATGTGACCCTTCCCTTCACCTTGAACACTTAGAGGCCATTGTTAGATTAGTAATTGGTCCAATCTCAATATTGTTGTCTCAGGGAATAGGGGGGCCAGAGGGAAGGAAGATAGATGGGGAATGGGCAGTTGGTAAAGCAGTCAGAACACACACAACATTCATCACTTTATATTGGCGCAGTTTGTGGCACCTCAAAACAATTACAATAGTAACATCACAGATCACTGATCACAGATCATCCTGATAATAATGAAAGAGTTTGAAATATTGTGAGAATTGCTAAAATGTGACAACGAGACACAGAGCGAGAACACACTATTGCAAAAGTGGAGCCAACAGATGTGCTTGATGCAGGGTTGTCATAAATTTTCAATTTATTAAAAAAAAAAGCAATATCTGCAAAGTGCAATAAAGTGAAACAAGTAAAACAAGGTATGCCTGTATCTGCCCTTGCTGGCTTTGGTGGTGGAGGAAGGGGATAACAAGTCAAGGAATGTGAGATAGCCTCTAGAGGCTGGAACAGCCCTCAGTTTACAGTCAGCAAGGAAATGTAAATCTCAATGCTACAACTGCAAGGAACTGATTCTGCCAACAACCCGACTGCAAAAACCCAGATTCTCCCTTGGAGCCTGAAGAAAGAAATGCGGCCTGCTGACACCTTGATTTCAGCCTGGTGAGACTCACATAGGACTCCTGCACTACAGATCTTTAAGATAATAAGTTTGTGTTGCTTTCAGCCTAAATTTGTAGTAATTCATTGGAGTAATAATCAAAATCTAATACATGTCCCAAGGTTCCATTGACAACTGTTTTAAGAAATATTTTGCTCCTGTAATATATGCGTCACTGTTTTTCCAGACTCGGATACACATTAGCCAGTTGTTCACCACCTAACTGACAAGTCTCCACCAAACATTTTAGGTTTGTGTTATGACAGCCCTCTACTTCCAGTTTCAATTCCTACATGAGTCAGAATAGCTTAAACTATCCTGTCATTATAAATTAGCTAGGAATCCCAGTGATTTCACAAAGGTTTATGACTCATAGAAAATCTGCTATGGGCCCAGCAGAACTCCAGGACACCTCCCTTCCAAGAGGTGACTCAGAGATCCAGCCTGCTTACATCTCATGACTCAGTTTAATCTAATATGTATATTTTCAGGGGGCCACAGCAGGAAAAGAAAACCCTGCAGGATTTTTACTTTCTCAGATGAAAATATCACTTGTCGCTTTTGCTCACAGTCCATTGATTCACAAATAAAACACAGCTCTGCCTAACTCCAAGAAGGATGAGAAATGTAAGGTTTTTTTTTTTTTTTTTTTTTTGTATGTGCTCAGAAAGAAAGAACTCAATATTGGTGGTAACTAGTGATATCTTTCTATACTTTGTTACCTAAAAAAAAATCAGACTGGGTGTTATGACGCATGACTGTAATCCCAGTGCTTTGGGAGGCTGATGCAGGAGGATCCCTTGAGCCCAGGAGTTTAAGACCAGCTTGGGGGATATAATGAGACCCCATCTCTACTGACAAAAAAAAAATAGCCAGGTGTGGTAGCACATATCTGTAGTCCCCATTACTTGAGAGGCTGAGGCAGGAGGCACACCTAAGCCCGGCAGGTCGAGCAGGCAGTAAGCTTTGATCACACGCTCCACTGCACTCAGATTGGTCCACTTTAAATCTCCAGTTTAAATTAGTTTTAATTTAGACCTTTTAGAGATCTTCTTACCTCCTGACTTGGAAACTTGGAAATTTCAGGGAGAGAAGCAGTGTGGGCAGCATTATTAATTCTTCTCCCATGTAAGAAAGGAAATTCATTGTCTTTTTTTTTTTTTTTTTTTTTTTTGAAATAGAGTCTCGCTCTGTCGCCCAGGCTGGAGGGCAGTGGCGCGATCTCGGCTCACTGCAAGCTCCGCCTCCCGGGTTCATGCCATTCTCCTGCCTCAGCCTCCCGAGTAGCTGGGACTACAGGTGCCCGCGACCTCGCCCGGCTAATTTTTTGTAGTTTTAGTAGAGACGGGGTTTCACCATGTTAGCCAGGATGGTCTTGATCTCCTGACCTCGTAATCCACCCGCCTCGGCCTCCCAAAGTGTTGGGATTACAGGCGTGAGCCACTGCTCCTAGCCTGGAAATTCGTTGTCTTTTATGGGAACGTTTCTTTCCTCTCCTTCCAGGTTGTAATCCTTTGTTTTATATAAATAGTGAGGAAATAGGAGAAATGGAAATAGAAATGACTGTCTGTTGGTGGAGGAACATGCCCCAGTCTTCCTCTGGCTGGGTATGCAGCTGATGGCCTATTTCAAGGTGATTTCCCTTAGGATGGTGATGCATTGTTTCTTGGGGTGATGTCCAGCATAGTTTTGCCTCTGCCCCACCGAGGACCTTGTGGAGAGCAGCAGCCAAGTCTCCCTTTGTCCTCAGCCCCATTTCTGGGTTGGGCATCATATAGCCTGAAGTAGCTACTGGGTTTGCTTCCTTTTCTATCCTTTGTGCTTCTTCATGCGTGGAAATTGCTGAAGCCCTTTTGTATGCCCTCTAAGAGTCTCAGAGCACTGAGATACGGTGAAGATTGCCCACATCTTCTTACCAGCATGCAACACCACAGTCCCTTCCTGCCTGGCTCCTCTCCCCAACCCACCACAAGTTCCTGTCATTGATAATGATCTCCACGTGAGAAGCAGGCATTATACTTTATGTCCTGAGACATAAGACAGAGTTACTTTCAGTAACTCTGCAGCTACATCTCAAGCTCTCCCAAGAACTTCCTTCCCCTGCTCCCTCATTCAAGCTCCAGTTAGCTGTAATAGCTAGCACAAAGTGGGCCAATAGGTTTTGTAGACCAGATGCTGCCCAACTACATGCCCCATGAGATGCCCATCTTCCTTTCTAAGGGGCAAAACAAAATCTTTAGAAATAGTTTATTCAGAGCATCTCTCTTTGGTGTGGTGTGGGAGAAGAACCCCTCTCCTTTCTCTCATGAAGAGGAAGGGAAAAGCCATGGTTCTCCTTACTATTCAGCAGCTGAAGATGCCAGTGATTCTCTTTTTACCTCCCTAGTCTCTTTGGGAAAACATAATGTACATAAACAATCAATAAAATGCATTACAATAATGTAAGTGCTATATAAAGTCATTCCTTTATAGTACTACCACTAAACCACTGTAGAAGTTCAGAGAAAGAAAGAGATTAATAAGCTCTAGAAGTAGTCTGAAAGAGTCCTGAGCTAGCATTCATTGAATTTTTGTAGGTGCCAGATACTGTACTAAGCACTTGTGATTGTTAATTTGATGTGGCTATTTGACTGGGCCATGGGGTGTCCAGACATTTGGCCAAACATTATTCTGGGTATGTCTGTGAGGGTATTTCTGGATGAGATTAACATTGGAATCAGTAGTAGACTGACAATCTTCTTCCTGATATTAACACAATTATGGAGAAACTGGAGTGAAAGAAGCCACCTCGACGATCCTTTCCTAGATTCACCAAAACTGAACCTGGAAAACTCCATTGCACTAGTCAGTTCCTCATCTGTACCTACATTTAATTCCACTTAACTCATTTCTGCTTCTATTTATTTTTATTTTTCTAAATTTAGCCCAAAGGCTGAGTCAGCCCAGCCTTAATGTCCATAATCTGTTGGGCCTGGCTCACTGAAAAAGTACTGTGGTGCCTTCATGGAGATGACACTGAAATAGGCAAAAGAAAAATGCACGCAAAGCCATTAGCCAGATGAAACCAGAGTCATGCTTCCTTGGCAAAACATCAGTGCAGTATTAAAAAGTAGTGAGGAACAGTGGGCAATAGATGCTATCTGTCCAGATGCCGTTTCCAGGGTTCTAGATCTGCATTTTGCGGCTGGGAGCAATAGGGCCACTTTAAAGAGGCATCACAGAAGCTATTGATGTTTCAAATGGGATTAAAACAAAACCAAATCAAACATTCCCCACATGTTGTAGGCAGTTTCAAATAAATGATTTGCCTTGAGATTTTCAGTAGTCTACATGGAAATTCTCAGAACTATTTTTCATTCTCTTTTTTAAAAAATAATGAATTTATTTATTTCTTCAAGGTGTCAGAGATTTAATCCAAGCTGTAATTAGCAGTTCACCTCTCCAAGTACATTTTACAACTAGATCCTAGATGTTTTCATTTGCATAATTCTTGAATGTCATTTGTGTTAACTTAATATTTTTTGTACAGTCTTTCTGTTATCAAAAGCTTTCCCTATATTTCATCTCATTTGAAAGAATAAATTCAGATTTCAAAAGGTAATTTCAGAAGTGTCTCTTTTAATCATGATAAATTTGAAACATTTCTTCATTTATTCTCTAGATTTAGTATTTATCTTTTTTTAATATCTCTGTGTCTATGTATCTATTATATATTTTATTTATATTTTATACCTATATTTAAACTGTATATACTGCTTTATATTTACACTTAATTTTATATTTATATTTGATCTCCTATACCAGCCGTCCCCAACCTTTTTAGCACCAGGGACCAGTTTCCTGGATGAAATTTTTCATGGAGGGTGGTCGGGGTGGGGATAGCTTTGGGATGAAACTGTTCCATCTCAGCTCATCAGGCATTAGTTAGATTCTTATAAGGAGCATGCAACCTAGATCCCTTGCATGCACAGTTCACAACAGGGTTCACACTCCTGTGAGAATCTAATTCCACAGCTGATCTGACAGGAGGTGGAATTCAGGAGGTAATGATCACTGGCTATACCGTCTTAAACTTCTGCTGGGCGGCCCGCTTCCTAACAGGCCACAGACCAGAGGGTCTGCGGGCCCGTCTTGTACTATTTACTGTGTTGGTAACCAGTACATCTAGGAAATGCTTTAACAGACTTTTCGAATAATATATATTAAATGATATAATTTCTTCCTAAAAACAGGATTAATCGAGGTATATTTATATGAGACAAAATATGATTTTCAATCCCACTCTGTAAGATTTTTACTTATCTCAGGATAGGCCAAGTATTTGAGTACTTTGAAACTTTACAGCCTCTATTAATGCCAAATAGAACCCTGCTGTTGTGTCATAGAATTAAATCTGCGTAAGAACCACTAACTTACTTTTTCCTTTAATTCCTTCCTTCCTCTGTAATAGAACAATGCTCTCTTCCGCCAAGATGTCCGTGTCCTAATCCTCAGAACCTATAAATAGGTTTCCTTACACGGCAACATAGACTTTGCAGACATGATTAAATTAAGGATTTTGAGATATTGGAGATTATCCTGGATTATGTAGGTGGATTGGATATAATCATATATTTACTTAAAAGTAGAAAGGGAACAAGAAAAGAAGGTCAGAGTGAGGGCATGTGGGAAGTGTTTGACCCGCCACCAGCATTGCTGCATTGAAGACGGAGGAAGGGAGCCATGAGCCAAGGAGTACGGGTGGTTCTAGTGGCTGGAAAATGCAAGGGAGCAGATTCTTCTCTAGAGAGTCTGGAAAGGAACACAGCTGTGCTGGCACCCCTATTTTACCCAGTGAGACTCAGTTTGATCTTCTAACCGACAGAACTGAGATAACGAATGTGTGTTGCTTTGAGCCACTAAGTTTGTAAGTAATTTGTTAGAGCAACAATAGAAAACTAATACACTTTCCTTCTTTGTTTTCCTTTTAGCAATTTAATTAAGTACCTATCATACTAGACCTTGGAAATTAGAAGACAAATGAGCTAGAATATGGAAATTATTGCTATGCTTTTCTGATTTTAAAATTTCCTAGTAAAGAAATATTTCCTTTCCCTCTTGCAAAGCACACTAAAACAAAAGAAAATGAGAAAAAAACACAACTTCCTGACCCTTAACAAATATGTAAGTTAGGGGTGCAACATTCAATGATGATCAACTAGGAATATAGGAAGATGCTGAAACAAGACACCCCATTGAAGTAGATCTAAGACTAAGACAACAGAGTAGAATTTTCCAAAGCACACAGCCTATTTTTAGGGATATTGTAAAAATTTTGAAATGTAATTTACACATGATTGTTTTAAACAACAGAAAGGAAGACTATCAGCTGGTAGTGAGAGCTTCCCTAGACAAAATTTTCTACCAAAGAGTCAGGGCTGATGAAGACTTACGCAGATATGATTATTTGTAGGGAGCTGTCTCTCAATGCAGCAGAGTGGAGGAAAGAGACCTTGCTTTGGGAATAGCCCTGAAGCTGCCTTTTTGTGGGCTGGAAAGATAAATGCAAATCTGTTTCACCAGGAAACTTCAGAGAAGATGAAGTAAGATATAACCAGGAGATTAGTTAGCACAGGCAAGGGAAAAATGGGAGAGAAAAATAAATCACAAAAATAGAGACTCCAGTGAGAAGTAGAAAGAAAAAAAATCTGTGCCGAATAACACAGTAGCAGACATGGAAGATAGGATTAAGAAAAGTGAGCAAAATATAATGTAAAAGAATGAAGAGTTAAGAAAGATTAGAGAGAAGTGACATATGGAAGACCAACAAGGCAATCTAAGGCACATATAGTTCATCTCAAAATATGAGAAAATATAATATGAGAAAATGTTAGTCATAACAACATTGAATTTAAAACTTGAGAAAGCATTCTGTCTTTCACTGTTAAATATTACCATTGATGTAAAAATATTATAGTAAAATTATTTTACTTTTAAGATAAAGAATCCTTTGGAAATCTTGGTTAAAAAAATTAATCTTTAAGGGAAAAGGCATCAGACCAGCCTCAGACACCCTCACAGCAACATTATATGCTAGAAGCAATGCCTACAAAGTCCTCAGGGAAAGAAAAGGTAAAACAAAAATTTTAAACAAAGTCAAGCAATCAATTAAGTATGCAGTGAACAGACAGACATCTTGGCATGCATTCATTAAGGATTATGAATTCCATAATCCCTTAAAAAATTATTATAGGCCAAATGTCAGCAAACCAAGAGATGACTGGAGAAAATACAGCACATTCACTGTTAATGAAATGATTTAATTTTAAGACTAAGACTAAATCAAATGCCAATCAAACCCAGAAAATGTAGGAGTAACATAGTAACATTCAGGAAAGGAAGGAGGAGAAAGATGAAAAGCAATGTAAATATACTGATTACCTTTAGAACCAGATGTCAAAGATATTATAAATCAAATAAAGCAAGTATTAGAAGTAAAGATATATTTAAAGCTTCAAAGATTAACACTGAGACAAGTTATGTGGTAAGCAACTACAGTTTTGGATGATGAAGAGGAG
Organism: Homo sapiens; assembly: GCF_000001405.40. Classification (NCBI taxonomy): domain Eukaryota; kingdom Metazoa; phylum Chordata; class Mammalia; order Primates; family Hominidae; genus Homo; species Homo sapiens. The sequence continues at coordinate 9,057,922 of NC_000020.11, forward strand.
GAAAAGGAGAAGGGCGTGGGAATATATTACTTTCACTGTTTCTTATAGTAAGGAATAGTCATGAATTGTACAGATGTAATAAATCATGGCACATCCATACAATGGAATGATATGAAGCTGTTACAAACATAGAGGCTGCTCTACATGCATATATATAATTTACAAAATTTTAAAGAGAATAGTGTATAAGAAGAACAAAGAATGTATGTATGTAAGTTTATATACATACACTGGTATAGACTCACAGGCAGGCTAAATAAGGCACAGGAATATAATGCTTCCCTCTCAGAACTTGAAGTCTTGGGGAAAGGCAGTCTTTTTCTCTGTATTCCCCCCAACCCCACCACCCCCGTTTTCTTGAGACGGAGCTCAGGCTGAAGTGCAGTGGCACAATCTTGGCTTACTGCAAACTCTGCCTCCCAGTTCAAGCGATTCTCCTGCCTCAGCCTCCTGAGTAGCTGGAATTACAGATGCCCACCATCACGCCCAGCTAGCTTTTGTATTTTTAGTAGAGACAGGGTTTCACCAAGTAGGCCAGGCTGGTCTTGAACCCCTGACCTCAAGTGATCTACCCGCCTCGGCCTCCCAAAGTGCTTGGATTACAGGTGTGAGCCATAGCACCTGGCCATACCCCCTTTTTATTGATACATAATAATTGTACATATTTATGGGATAAATATGATACTTTGATACATGCATACAATGTGTAATGATTAAAGCAGAGGAAATGGGATATCCATCACCTTAAACATTTATCATTTCTTTGTATTAAGAACATTCCAAATCTTCTAGCCATTCTGAAACATACCCCTTTTTATGACTTTTGAATTTTGTATTTTGTGCATGTACTGCCTATTATAAAATGTATACTGCAGTTGTTTTGGCAAGGAAAAAATGAGTTAGAATCCTGATTTTACCCTCCAGAGTTTCACACTCCTTTGAGGTGAGACAGATAAACAGATAACTCTTAAATAATGAGGTAAGTGCTATGAAATAAGACGGTACCAGGTGCTTTGGGGAAGTCTAAGAGGCTTAATTCCTACTGGAGGGGTTAGAGAAGCTGAGTTTTGAATGGAAAGAATAATTTAAGAGATATTTGTAAATGGTGTAGATGAATCTACTTAATAACAGACTCAAAATAAAATATGAGGCTGCTGAAGAAGCCAAATATGGAAACATCATCTTGTACCCCATAAATATATACAACTATTATTTGTCAATGAAAAATAAAACCAAAAATAAATAAATAAATAAAAGATTCACTGGTTCTGGTTCCAGCCACCTGGTAGATTGCAGGGCTACTTATTTTTAGTTCAGCAAATATTTTTTACCACCTCACTATATTCCAAGCACCATGTTGAACCCTGGAGATTAGAATTTAAATAAGAAACAGTCCTTTTCTTTAAGGAAGGTGAAATCTAATAATGGCATGTGGTAGATGGCAGTCATAACTTCAAGTATTCACCGCTCTCTCAATCCGTACCCTTTGTAGCACCCTACCACTATGGGCAGGTCACTTTGCCCTATACCTAAACACCGGGCCCAACCCAGTGACTTGCTTTGGGCAAAACAAGATGGTAGCAGACATGAAGCAAGCAGAGGTGTGAAATGGGCTTGGCATTGGCACTTCCTCTCTCTGGTACTTCTGCCATTACCATGAAGTTGAGATGGAATAAAGCCCTTTATGAACCAGCCAAAATGGACACATTCATTTCTGGTTGCATTAATGTTATTTTGAAAGAGAAGGAAAAAGCATAAACATCACACAAATCCTTTGCTGTTAGTTGTTTGTCTGCAAATCTGCTGCATTTTATAAAACACTATATATATAAGGTAAACCTGGTGGGTGCATCCACTCCAAAGAGTAAGACCTATACCACAATTTTGTGCAAAATAAAAAAGTGTACTACGTCTTTGGGGCCAATTCAGCCCAGTGCCAAGCAAAAGGCTTTGCAAGAGGAGCATCTCAGCGAACACTTGGCCCATTGACTGAGTATCCTCATGCAGTGCGCAACCTGACCTACTGTATGTGGTAATCCTGCTTAAATTTTAGATGGGACTTTCTGGCAACCTCCGCCTCCCTGGTTCAAGCCATTCTCCTGCCTCAGCCTCTTGAGTATCTGGAATTACAGGCATGCACCACCACGCTTGGTTGATTTTGCATTTTTAGTACAGACGAGGTTTCACCTTGTTGGCCAGGCTGTTCTCGAACTCCTGACCTCAAGTGATTCACCCGCCTCAGCCTTCCAAAGTGCTGGAATTACAGGCATGAGTCACTGCACTCTGCCAGCTCAGTTTAATAAAGTCTAGAAAAGGAACCTCTTTGAGGAAACACCTATGAAATGCAAGGAAATTTTTCTTTTGATCATGAGCTAAAATATAAGCTTCATAAAATTCTGTAAAAATTCAATTAATCTTGTCTTCTTTCTTCTGGATTTTGTTGAACTGATGTGAGTCCAATTTCTGAAAAGGAAGCTGGAGTCCCATCAGCCGGTATGCAAACTGACCAAGTCACACAGCCTCTCGGACTTAAAATGTTCACCAACCAGCACTTTGGGAGGCCGAGGTGGGCGGATTATGAGGTCAGGAGATCGAGACCATCCTGGCTAACAAGGTGAAACCCCGTCTTTACTAAAAAATACAAAAAATTAGCCAGGCGTGGTGGCGGGTGCCTACAGTCCCAACTGCTAGGGAGGCTGAAGCAAGAGAATGGCGTGAACCCGGGAGGCGGAGCTTACAGTGAGCCGTGATCCCGCCACTGCACTCCAGCCTGGGTGACACAGCGAGACTCTGTCTCAAAAAACAAAAAGTTCATCAATTAGTTGAAATGATTGGATCACTTGATCCTCTAAGTCACTTCTAGGTGGAAAACTGCAAAAAAATATTATTATTTTGGTCAGTATTAATCACAATGGCAAAATTGACTAAAAAATAATGTAAAAAATTTATTTTTGTGTGTGGGTGAAAATTTTGGGCTTCCTGAGGCATAGAGGGACAATCATTTTAACTGAATTGTACTTTTGTTGTGATTCCAACCACATGGAGTCAGTGAAGGAAAGAAAAGAACATTGAGTCTTGTTGAGTGTGCAATTGATATTTATATTGTAAGTTAATGTATTTTTCTAATCTTGTTGCAGCATAACAGAAATGGTAGGAACGAATCATTGTATTTACAAAACTGATTTGTTCACATTTAAAGAATGGAGAGAAACATAAAACCATGCAATTAGGCCAGCAGTTGAGCAGCCTCATTAAGTACTGGGTATATTTTCCATATGCTCTGATTTCATTTTACATAATCCTGTCATAAACAACAGGTAAGTGGGAACAGTGCACTCATTTGTAAATCATATTCTGTAGGTTAAATGCTGATATCAGTTTTGAGGCTTTTCTGATTTAAATTTAACAGCACATATTCCCCATATTTCAAGGGAATGATTACTGATGTTTTGGCATCAGAAAAATACTTTAATTGTCATTTGAATTATTTGGAGTAAACCCTTTTTTATCCAGAAATATGTCATAATTTTATTTCTGTTCTTTTGAATAAAATATTTAGGAATTTACTTTACCATGACACAGAATATTCTTTATTCTCACGAAACAACCCAGTATTGAGCACTTAGTATACCACATTGTGCTAGGAATAGAGAATATGGAAAGAAGTAGTATAGTAGTACCAGGACCAGTTTTCTTTTCCTTTCCTTTTCTTTTCTCTTCTTTCTTTTCCTTCCTTCCTTCCTTTCTTCCTTCCTTCCTCTTTCTTTCTTTCCTTCTTTCTTTCTTTCCTTCTTTCTCTTTCCTTCCTTCCTTCCTTCCTTCCTTCTTTTTCTTTCTCTCTCTCTCTCTCTGTTTTTTTTTCTGACAGAGTCTTGCTCTGTTGCCAAAGCTGGAGTGCAGTGGCCACTGCAACCTCTGCCTCCCTGGTTCAAGTGATTCTCCTGCCTCAGCTTCCCGAGTAACTGGGATTACAGTTGCGTGCCACCATGCCCAGATAATTTTGGTATTTTTAGTAGAGATGAGGTTTCACTATGTTGGTCAGGCTGGTCTCGAACTCCTGACCTCAAGTAATTCACCCGCCTCGGCCTCCCAAAGTGCTGGGATTATAGGCGTGAGCCACCGTGCCCGGCCAAGACCAGCTTTCAAGGACCTTTCATGTGCACTTTTAAAAAATCCCACAATTTTTTTTTACCATCAAAACAGATTGTATAAATACCTTCTATTTTATTATACAAGGATATACTGCACAACAATAAAAAGGAAGAAATTACAGATACAAGCTACAACATGAATGAATCTCCCAGACGTACTGCTGAGTGAAAGAAACCAGACACGGAAGAGTACCTTTTGCATGATTTCATTTATACTAAGTTCACAAACAAGAGAAAGCAAATCTGTGGTGTTTGAATAGTGGTTACCTGTGGTGTGGTGGTGGTGGTGGTGGGGTGTGTGTGTGTGTTTGTATGTGGGAAGGATATTGACTGAAAAAGTGCATGAAGAAATTTCTGGAGTGCTATAAAGGATTTATATCTTTATTGAGGTGTGGTCACATAGACGTTTATATAAGTAAAACTCCTCAAGCCCCCACTTAAGATTTTTGTACTTTATTGTACATATATATATATATAAAATATCTTTATCACCTTCTTCATCGTCATCATCCAGTCTAGTTGAACATCTGCAGTCTAATCATATCCTAAGCCTAGCTGATATATACAAAATTCTATTCTTAAGCAAGTAGTTTGGAATGGAATTAATCTTTATTTTACTTTTCTATTTTCCCTTTACACTCCAATCAATGATTAATTTAATCGAAAGTTCAGTGGGAGTTTTTTTTTTTTCACCAGACATTACATTGCACATAAACTCAATCCTTAGGCAATTTTCTTCATTATCATTTTCTTTGGTATTCAAAGAAAACCAAAGTTGTTTTAGTTGTTCAGTGCACAGGGGAACAAGACACAAAGTTAGGGAAAGGATACCCTGAGGTCCAGACAGCTCGTATCAGGCCTGTCTGTGTGCTGCCCACTTTTCAAAGATATATGTCTCTAATTAAGGTAAACTGGGCAAATGCGCCAGTGGTGATCTCTGTCTTCCAAAGCACAGCATGCAAAAAGCTAGGTGAAAACTGTAATTAATGTGCCACTTTAAATGGGAACAAGAGATGTACTGCCCTTTGTCTAAAAGAGATACAACATGATCTTTTGCTAATACGGTTGAGACTATTCAGCTAAAGGTCCTTATTGTCACTATTATCCTTTCATATTAAGTAACAATGACAATAAGCAAGACTTTATACAAATCAAAGTAAAGAACTGGTGGCGTTTGCAGTTTGCTTTGGCTTTTCTTGTGGTGAATGTTAATTTTCATAACACAATGTTGCCAGGTAATTGATAACTAGAGTCTGCAGCTGAGCACGATGAGGTGTTCAGGGATCTACATTCTAGAGAAAGTCTTCAAAATTGGTCTAGGCATCCTCCTTGCTGCAGAAACAGCTCCATCTTACCTGCCTTCCTGTTGGCCAACCCATTAGCCTGGCTGGGATGGGCAATTTTCTCTATTTTCTCTGGGCTTCCAGTAGATACTCTAGAAGGCTCTTCAGCTTAACTTTCTTGCAGATGCCTCACCCAACAGGGTGGCCTACCTAGCATGTGAGACCCAGCATTGAGATGCTCTAGGCTGGACCACCATGAAGAGAACTGTGGAGCCTGGGAAAAAAGGAGAACCTGGGGTTGGAATTCCAGAAGGACCTTCCAAGGGCCTCCCTTATTATCTCCATGGCAGAGAGCTTGCATTGCACTCCTGACAGATTGTGTCCCTGATTTCCTAGCCAGAGAAGCAGCCACAGTGAACCAAGAGAAGGCCATAATGGCTATAGGTCAAAGGTAGAGACACTGGCCTTTTCTTCTTGCTGCCCAACATTCTGGCGGAACTAGGCCTTGAAGGGCAAATGGCAGGGTTGGGGAGGGTGGCTGGGGAAGGGCAGTGGGTAGGAAAATGTTTAAATGCCAGATCCTGTGCCAGTAACCTTCCACTTCAAGAATTAAGGCATCTAATAGGGCTTGCAGTGGGACAGGGAGAAGACAGAAGACTGAATTTAAGTTGAGTTTGAAGGTGAAGGTTTAACCTGATGATATGGTTTGGCTGTGTCCCCACCCAAATCTCATCTTGAATTATAGTTCCCACAATTCCCACATGTTGTGATAGGGACCCGGTGGGAGGTAATTGAATCACGGGGATGGGTCTTTCCTGTACTGTTCGCCTGACAGTGAATAAGTCTCACGAAATCTGATGGTTTTATAAAGGGGAGTTCCCCTGCACAAGCTCTTGACTGCCACCATCCATGCAAGATGTGACTTTGCTCTTCCTTGCCTTCTACCATGATTGTGAAGCCTCTGCAGCCATGTGGAACTGTGACTCAATTAAACCTCTTTCCTTTATAAATTACCCAGTCTTGGGTATGTCTTTATCAGCAGCATGAAACAGACTAATACACTTGGTCTGAGTTTTAATACTGAAAAGTGATAAACTCTGCCCTAGTGGACCCACTGCTGTATCCTTAGAATAGGCTCCTTTTTCTACCCTCCCTCCTATAGGCATTCTTAATGCACATCTTCCTAAACCATCAATCAGATCATGTCATGACCCTGTTTAACATCTTCCAATGGGTTCATGACACACCCAGACTAAAGTCCAAGGTTGTTTCTGTGACCTTACATGGTCTGGCCCCCTGCTGCCTCTGTGACCCCACTTCTGCTCACTCCATGTCTTGCTCTGCCACTCTGGCCTCCTTTCATCCCTTGGACATGCCAAGCATATTCTCATCCGAGAGCCTTGGCTGGTCTCGCTGCTGGAAACACTGTTCTCTAGATATTAACATCTCTCATTCAGCTTCCACTCAAATGGCCTTAGAGTGGCCATCTCTGATCCCTATCTAAAATAGCTGCCTCTCTACCTCATCTCAGGAAGCCTTCTTTTCACCATGGTTCTTAGCACTACTCAATGTTTTACATATATATATATAGAGAGAGAGAGAGAGAAAGAGAGAGACAGAGAGATTATATATATATTTACTTATATAGGTTATAAAACACTACTTAGCACTACTCAATGTTTATATATATATATATATATATATATATATATTTTTTTTTTTTTTTTGAGACAGGGTCTCACTCTGTTGCCCAAGCTGGAGTGCAGTGGCCATGACCTTGGCTCACTGCAGCCTCCACCTCCCAGATTCAAGTGATTCTCCCACCTGAGCCTCCTGAGTAGCTGGACTATGGGCACATGCCACCATACCCAGCTAATATTTGTATTTTTTTGGTAGAGTTGGGGTTTTGCCATGTTGGCCAGGCTGGTCTCGAACTCCTGACCTCAAGTGATTTGCCCACCTTGGCCTCCCAAAGTGCTGGGATCATAGGCTAGAACCACCACACTTGGCCCAATGTTCTATATTTTTAATATGCTATTGTCTATCTCCTGTGATAGTATCTAAGTTTCTTAGGGGCAATTATTTTTGTCTCTTGCTTATTTTAGTATCCTGGCCAAAGAGTAGTGCCTGGCACATAGAAGGTTTCAAAAAATTTGTTCAATGGGCCAGGCACAAACCTGTAATCCAAGCTCAATCCTTTGGCTCAAACCTGTAATCTGAGTACTTTGGGAGGCTGAGGCAAGAGGATCATGTGAACCCAGGAGTTCACAACCAGCCTGGGCAACATAGTGAGACTCTGTCTCTACAAAAAAATAAAATAAAAAAATTTAGCAAAGTGTGGTAGCGCACACTTGTAGTCCAAGCTACTGGGAGTGCTGAGGTGGGAGGATCACTTGAGCCCCTGGGTTTGAGGTTGCCGTGATGATGCCACTGCACTCCATCCTGGGCAACAAAGCGAGACCCTGTCTCAAAAAAAAAAAATGTGGAATGAATGACCATCTAACATGTCATCAAAGGCAGGGTAAGGGAATTGAGAATTTGGATTGAATTTAGGATTTAGAGAAAAAAATTATTTAATGTTTATACCTGAGTTGAGATTCCTTAATAAACATATTATTAGATTGAAGACTTAACAGTAACAACAAAGATTACTGTGACTTGGTTTACCAATATATAAAATGAAAGATAGGCTTAATCTATACAACTTTGAACTCTAAGGCAGGAGGGCTAGTTTTATGGACTCTGATGTGTGTGGTAGATTTTAAAAACAAAATACTACTCTATTTTGTGTCTCCTTTTATTAAAATTGAAGTTGATTTCTCCATGTTTTGAATCTGGGCATGGCCATGTGGCTTGCTTTGGCCAGTAGAACATTAGCAAGCAGAGGTATAAAATGCTATTTTGAATTGGGGCTTTCCTTCTTTTGCTGCTGGGAACTAGGAACTCACCATACGAAGAAGCCATATGGGAATACCCTGTCATCCTTGCCATCCGGATGAGGCTCCAAGCTCCGCATGTCTGCAGCTGCATGAGTAGGCCCAGGAGAACAACACTGCTCAGCTGATTTTAGCTCCAGTTACTGATTCACAGAATTGTGAGCTAATGAATAATTGTTGCTTTAGGCTACTATGTGTTGGTGTGGTTTGTTACACACTAAAGGCTAACTGATATAGTGTGTTTGGGTGCATTATCTACTAATACTATGTTCTATTGTTAAAAACTGTCAAGACACACAGCTTCAGCTCATCTGTCTGTGAGTGATACCTGGGGAATAGAGGAACATACACAGGAAGCCCTGGAGAACTGGGTTTGAGCCTAGTGATGCTACTTCTTGGCCGTGTGACCTGGGGGCAAATTGCTTAACCTTTTTGAACCTTGGTTTTCTTATACATATAAAATAAAGAACAGGCCTAAAATACTGCCCTAACCTCTTGCAACTAAAAATCTATCTAAAGACAGCAACATCAGCATGGTGTGGGAACTTGTTAGAAATGCAGAATCTCTGATCCCACCCCAGATCTGCTGAATCAAAATCTGGAGTTTAACAAGATCCTCAGGCAACTTGTATGCCCATTACACACTGCCTTATCATGCTGGAATCACTCAAAATCACCAGATCCCTTTTTTTTTCTTTGAGATGGAGTTTTGCTTTTGTCGCCCAGGGCGGAGTGCAGTGGGGCTATCTCAGCTCACTGCAACCTCCGCCTCCCGTGTTCGAGAGATTCTCCTGCCTCAGCCTCCTGAATAGCTGGGATTACAAGTGCCCACCACCACGACCGGCTAATTTTTTTTTTTTTTTGTATTTTTAGTAGAGATGAGGTTTCACCATGTTGGCCAAGCTGGTCTCGAACGCCTGACCTCAGATGATCCACCCGCCTTGGCCTCCCAAAGTGCTGGGATTACAGGCGTGAGCCACCGCGCCCAGCCAAAATCACCACATCTTTAATATCCCTAACAGTGAAGAGCCACCAGCCTTTCCCTGGGATCTATCTTTCCTTTCCAATCTTGTGGGGAAACTTGGTCTGGGATATTTTTCTTGGCTTCTTCACAGGCAGACAGCTTCAGCTGCTGAGGAGCTTTTTTTCCAGGCTCAGCTAAAATTACAGCTTAGTAGTTGAGCTGGGGAGTGGTCAGTGGGGCCTCAGCCCCCTCTTGCTTAAGGATGCCCAGTTGGTTAAACTTTTGATGATTATTACCCCCATCTCTTAGCCCTGCCTGGAAATGGCCAGGATGTGCCAGGGGAATGAGTCTTTTGCATCTACAACTGCCCCTGCCCATCAGAGCCTGGACTATTGTTTGCACACACATTCCCCCTCCATTTCTTACACTTCACGCCCCGTCTGGCCCTTTCTTTCCTCCTGGCCAGCCGGACCGGCTCAGGCGGCTGAGCATGCCTAGTGCAGCTGCGAGCATGGCCCCAGTCCCCAATGCGCAGGTGCCACGTCTCCGGGTTTTGGTGGCCGCCGGCCGGGAGAAGGAGGAGGCGGAGTGGGGAGGAGGGAGCCCTCCGGAGTTCGGGAGCAGCACGTTGTGAGGGTCCACACAAGGGTGATGCCAGACCGAACACCATTAGGGCCTGGGTGTGAGTGTGACTCGGAGGCACCTGGGGGCCGTTGTAGGGCCGGGAAAAGCCAGGAACTGGCTGGAGCAGCACCCCAGCATCCCAGGGACCAAAGTCTGGGGGATTTGCATGTCTGAGGTTGCACTTGTGGGAAGACTTTTTGGAACCACTTAATCTCTGTGGCTCTGTGTAAGACCCGCGAAATAAAAAGAGGCAGTAGTACTCTTTGGAAGATTGTTTTAGGGATTAAATGAATAAAAAGCGTTTAGAACACTGCAGGACGCATTGTAGGCGCTGTATGGGTTTATGAAACCGAATATAAACAAATAAGCACGTCCCCCACCCAGCCAACGGCTTTGGGGGCCCCGTTCTGGCCAGTCCTGAGCCCCTCCACACGGCCCACGGCGGGCTGCGGGTCTCCCATCCGAGGAGGGTGCCGCTTTTCTGCCCCCGCTCCCTGGGTTCTGCGCCCAGCGCCATCCCGTGCGCCCCCGACCCTTGGGCATGGGGCACATGCCGCGGGGAGCCGCCAGGGAGACCCCAGAGGAGCGCGCCGCGGGCCGGCTTCCCCGGATGCCCCACCCACCTCCTCTTGGCGCTGCCCACCACCTGCCTCGGCTGCTCGGCCCCCGGCTCGCGAGGCTGCGCCCCCGACCCAGTCGGCGCCCACTCCTCGCCCTGCGGGCTCGCGGCAACTGGGCGGCCGGCCCGGCCCCTGCCCACCCCCAGCCCAGCCCGGCGCGCCGCACTGGGCATGCTCCGTAGCCTGGGCAGGTTGGGGCTGCGAGGCGACAGCTCGGGCTCTGGAGCCGGGAGGCGAGAACGAGGAGGGAGGCTCGGGGGCAGGGGAGGAGGAAGCGGCTGGCCGCTGAGGGGCGGCGGGGCCCGGAGCGGGGGACGCGCAGGGCCCGGCGGTGGGCGGGCGGGTCGGCGCTGCCCCGTGGGCTCGCTGGGGAGCCACGGCGGAGACCCCCGCCCTCAACTGAGGTAAGGACCGCGCGGCGCGGAGACGGGGAGGCGGGGAGGCCAGGGAGGGGGTGCGGAGGCAGGCGGGAGGGCGGGACTGGGGTGCGCCGGGAGGGGGCTTGGCGGCGGCTCTTTATGGCGAGGAGGGGGTGGTGGCGCCGCGCCGGGAGCAGTAAGTGAGCTGCACCGCCAACAAGATCTCTCACACACAGACACACACACGCACACGCACACACGGGCGCGCACACACACGCGCGTACACACTGGGTCTCCAGGCAGCGGCCGTCGCCGCATCCCCGGCAGCAGCTCCAGGCAAAGTGACAGGTAGGAAAAGGCATTTCGGGTCCCGCCCGAGGATGCTCCCGCCCGCCTTGGCCCTCAGGGCTTGTTTGCTTTCCGCGGGTGCGTCCCGGACGCGCGCGCGCGCGCACCCGGATGCCCAGCGGGGACCCCGTGCAGGTGCCGGGTGCCAGGCGCCCTGTGCGCGCGGGAGGCAGGGGACCCAGACGCCATCCCCCTTCCCCTGCAGTCATCGCCTGCTGGGTTTCCTCAGACTCTCTCCAGACGTTCACCCTCTTCTGGGCTAGAAATAGCTCGGCTCGACGTGTATATGATTATTTTGGTTGGAAATAGTTGGCACCGTGCAACGCATGTAAATGTGTATGCGTGTGGATCTTCTTGCCTCTTCTGGGGAAATCATAGAAATGATTGACCGTTTCCACTTAAAACAACACTGACAGGCTTAGCACTCATTGGGGGCAGGGTTCGGGCCTCCTAAAAGCCTGTTAGTGAAGGAAATCCTTATTTTCAGAATTTTAAAGTTGCTTTTGCTTTAACCAATTAGACTCTGTATAGTACAATACTTCTGAGTGTAGACTTCGTATATGGTACTGAATCGAAGTATGGAAATATGGAATTCTCTAATTTCCAAGTGTGTTTAAGTGCAACTTTATCTAGAATCATAAAACTAGCATTTTCCTAGAGAGAAATACAACTGCCCACTATAGTTTCCATAAATATGGATATATCTGAAAGATGACCCTACTCTTCCAACTTTTTTTCCTCTTAACTTCTGTAGTGATTCTAGCTATTGTTCTAAAACATGTATTTGAAATTTAATTTTGGCCAGAATATTCAGGAAAGGTGTTTTTTTTTCCATATACGTAATACTTAGTGGTCTATATATTTAAGTTATAGGTATGTGGAGATAGCTGTTTAATAATTCTTTTTGTCTGGAAATAACGTTATTCAAACATAGGCAGCTATGTATCATTTTAAAATGATATTGAATTTCCCCTTAAAGAGAAATCAGATTTATAATGTAAACATGACCAGGAAAAGCAACTGGTGACTTTACCTGGGGAGGCTCCAAGGAGGTTAAGAAAGTATCTGAACAACTGTGTTTTTCAGAATAGAAAAATTGTGTGTGTGTTGCGGGGGAAGGTAAAATTTTAACTTTATTCTTTTATTGTTTTCAAGACGGCTGTTTTCAGAAATGTGTGGTTGAACTGAGACCCTCATATTTTATACTCTTCAAATTTGAGTGGCCTCAGTTATAGAATCATACAGAAGATCAAAAGTCTAGCTCAGCAGGGGCATGTGGTGTAATCCCTCACTATCTGTGTTATGTAATCCAGAATGCTGTTTTTCATAGGACAGTCTTGCATGATCCTTAGCTGGTGTATTGATCTATTATATCATCTTCCTTTTGAACTGTAGTAGTTTAATAAATGATTGCCATCTTTGGAGAGCACCTGTTTTCATAAAAAATCACTTTTTGAAATGGCAAAACATTTTTATTGGCACTTTTATGAACGTAAGACTTGCTGCCAGACGAGTAACCTTTTGAATGTGACGTATTATAACATATCTAAAGGTACCATGTATTAGCTTATGGACTACACTTCCTTCCAACTATATTATTACTCAACAGTTGGAACTTAGTTTTGATGGTATTACTACCCAGCTCTGAATTAATCGCTGTTGAAAATGCTGTTCTACAAGTAACTGTCAAAACAGAATTTCTAACTCCATTTGATCACTGGGTGCACATTTAAATCTGTCGGAATAACTCTACCTTTATTTTGCAAATGCATACCCACGCAGAAAGCTTTGTTCTAAAATACTCTATTGGAAGTTTTATATTTATATGCCTGAAAATGTGAGTGATGTTAAACTGCTTACATGTCCTGGAATCGTGAGGCGGTGTGTTTTTGCCTTATGAGATAAAGAAATATGGTAGTTGAAAAAGTGTTACAGGTTACCAAAAACCTTTTGCAGGAAAAGATTTTAAAAATTTGTATCACCTCTGAAATATTTCAACCACAGCAGAGTCCATTCAGTGCCCGTAGCACAGCTAGTTTGCCTTTCCCAAGATTACACACAACTGTCTTTAGATTAATGTATACTGCTGACTTTGGCAACATGGGACAGTTATATTTGGCAATTTCAGTAAACATGGTATTTTCCTAAGATACCACTAACTTCATTTTGGGGTTTGATTTATTAAGAATTGAAATGTTTGCCTGGTATTCATCTTTACCTCACCCTCTAAGTAAAATTGAGGTAAAAGTGAGCTTCAGGGCTGCTGTGCTGTTTTCCTTGTGATCACATTAGCATGCTAATTTGTGAAAGGATGTAACAATATAAGTGAAATTAGCTTCTGAGTTTAGTGTCTGAATTTTCATCCCCAGTTTTTCAGATGTAGCTGGAAAACTCAAATAACAGAATTAATGAAAAAATTTTGCAGATTATTAAAAAAAATTAGTAATTAGCTGAGTTTGATTTTTTATTTTGAAATCTTGAGAGTAAATTTTATCTTTTCGGATTAGAGCACTTAGGTAATGTAAGAAAGATTTTGGATTTCTCATGCTCTCCACACTTAATAGTAAACTATTTTTGAGGAAGTATAAATTTTCTTTGAAACTTAAAATTATTTAGCAGGCTGTGACTAAATTTTTGTTTGTGATCACTTATAAAGTAAGGGTGAAACAGCATGTTGATTAGCACCGCCGACCCAGGTCTTTTAATAAACTGTCTATCTACCACAGTTGAGTCCCTGTAAAACCAAGAACTTCTGTATTTGATATGCAAAATTAGGTCAAGGACTAATGGAGATGCTTTAATGATCACAGTTGGTATTTTATGTCCAGATTGAAGTTTTTAAAATAGTTGCTTTTCACCTCATAATATATGAATGTGTAGGCCATATTAGTGTCTGTCAAGGAGACTTATCTGCCTGTTGGGAAATAAATACAGCTTTTCATCGCTGGTGGGAGGCAGCAGTGACTTTCTGTGGTTTTGCTGTTGGTTTTCAGATGTGAACTGTGTTTGCAAGGACACTGCTTAATTCTCAGTGCTGTCCATTCCACATTTTCCTATTTCCCTCTCATATTGGGAAAATGAATAAACTTGTGTAGCTCTTTCTTCTATTCCTTAGTATTTGTTTGTTTAATAGTTTTGCTTTTGATAAAGCCTCACCCTTTAAAGTAGAAATACTTTCTCAAATTGTAATATTATTTATCTAGTTATGCCTTAGAATGATATAAAGGTTTTACATGTTCCTAGGCTGTGATTCTTTAGCTAACCAAGTATAAAAATGAGTTTACTTCCTTGCCAGTGGAGGCAGACCTGGGTGATTATGCATTACTGAGTGGATGAGTGTGATGTTTACATTGTCTTGGTTGGAATTAAGCTTGCTTTGAAAATATCACCCTGGAATAACTTTTATTTGCAAGGCCCACTTCACTCCTTTGCAGCAACCACTCCCAAACCCCATTTTCTGGGTGGAAGGGTAGAAAGAGTCTGGGTGGAAGCTCACGACTTTGGATGCTTTTTTATGCTGAAGGCGTAACCCAAGTTTCTAGAGGAGATGAAAGTAATAATGCTGTACCTTTCAAATCTCAGCTAGGAGATCCTTATGTTCCAGGGAATGAATGACCAGCAGAGTGTTTATTTTCCCTGCATGCACTTCGTCTACTTTTCCTTTCCTTTATCAAATAAAAATAGTTGAAATGGACATAAATCCAAGGTTTTTCTCTGAACACCTCTCTTACTCACTACTTATAAAACCTTCAATGAGAATGTCACACACCATGTGACCATAAGATAGTGTTATCTTCTCCCCTTTCCTGGGATTCTCCTTCAAAGCTCAAAGGATCTTTTGGTATGCCTAGGGCTGGGAAATTCCACCTCTAGCTACGGAAATACCCTTGGGCCAGGCAAATCATGGCTTTAAGATACATTGCCCTTCTTGTCCTCCCGAACAATTAAAGCATGTCTTTGGCTCCCAGACATGAGTGAATTGAAGTAGCCATTTCCTTAGAAACAGGAAGAAAAAAGCAACTTGAAGTAATTAATTGTAAGCAGCTCATCCAGAGATCAGAGACCACAGACCACAGACCCCTGATTTTACATTTGACATCTCCCTTTCTTCTCTAGAACAGGAGTTCTTCATTTTAGGGCCAAGGATGCAGTTTGGTGGGTCCACGAATGTGGCTGGCAAATGAATTACATCTTTATATTCACTTACTTCCAAGTGACAATTGGGGCAGGTGTTAGGGCTACTACTAGATCTTGGCATTTAGTGGGTTGAAGAGAAACACATGTATTACTTCACATATCCCTTTAAAGAGTTATTTTGATAATTATATTTCAATGAGATTGATTTCCATTGTACTTTTAGGTATTTAATTTTATATATTTAAACATATTATGCTGGGCCAGGCATGCTGGCTCACACCTCTAATGCCAGCACTTTGGAAGGCTGAGGTAGGAGGATTACTTGAGGCCAGGAGTTTGAGACCAGCCTAGGTAACACAGTAAGATCAATTTATGCAAAAAATACCAATAAAAAAATTAGCTGAGTGTGGTGCACATGCCTGTAATCCTAGCTACTTGGAAGGCTGAGGCAGGAGGATCGCTCAAGCCCAAGAGTTCAAGGTTATAGTAAGCTGAGATCGCATCAGTGCACTCTAGCCTGGGTGACAGAGTGACAGTCTATTAAAAAATAATAATAAAATGAAAATATCCTGCTGAAAAGGGTCTTTAAGATTTACCATATTGCGAAGGGCATTCATGACCCACACAAGGCGAAGACCATGTGCTCGAGAAATGCTTCCTCCCAGAGGCAGCTGGCTGGGTGGGTGTTTTCACTGTGGGTTTGCATTGAGCAGTGGTTGCTGAGATCTTCAGGCGTTGGAATCAGGCACTGAATTCCTGACAAATGCCCTGTTTTAGCTTGAATGCTGACAGATGCCCTCTTTTAGCTGTGTGACCCTGGGCATTCACTCTGAGCCTCAGTTGCCCTATCTGTAAAATGAGGAGAATAACCCTATGGGGCAAAAGTGCTTGGTGCTGCACTGTGAATGATACAGGGTACTGTTACTGCTGCTACTACAGGTGCTCAAAGGATCCCAGGATCTTTGGGTGTGCCCAGGTTTGGGAAATTCCACCTGTAGCTACGGAAACACCCTTGGGCCAGGAAAATCATTACTTTAAGATACATTGCCTTTCTTATGCTCCTGAACAATTAAAAGCATGTTTAACAAGTGCTACTGCCCCTTCTCCTAATGGTACTACTAGTATTATGGCTCTCATCTTGTTCTCTTTCATAGGGGTAGATGGCATTGACCTTATCCATACAAAGCAGCCTGAGAAAATTCCTATAAAATTTACAAGGGACACTTACTTTGCCACTCTGCAAGTACAGAAAGTTTCAGTCACCCCACAGGACCACCATGAAGTACCAGATCTTCCTTTGGACTTGCCAAGCCCAGTGACTGCATTTGGACAGAGGGACCTAATATTAACTCAGTCCTAATAGCTTCAAAATTCTGTGACTTTGGTGTTTCAGAATATAATTCAGTGAGCCAGATGCTGTCCCCAGGGTATCTGTCTCCCAGCTAGGCTTTTTTTTTTTTTTTTAAACAAAACAAAACAAAACAAAACAAAACAAAACAAAACAAAACATATTAAGCCATTTAGACCTGGAGGGAGAAAGGCCTCCACTAGAAGAATTAGGGGTCTCTGGTGTTCAGGGGCAGTCACCATAGCTCTTGTTTTTCCATGGAGTTTCTCGGAGAGTACTCAACTTCTCTGCTTTACATAGTATTATAATAACAACAACAAAATAAAACAACAGACATTTGTTGAGCAGTTAAAATGTGCCACTTTATTTAATACTTCTGACAGCCTTTTTGAGTGTGTCCTAATAGCATCTCCAGTTTATACTTGGGGAAACTGAGGTTAGGAGATGTTAAATTAATCATCCCAGGATGTTAAAGTTAGAATTGAGACTGAAACTCAGGTAGGCTGACATCAGAACTCCAACTTCTAACCACCGTACTGTGTATTACCTGTCATTAAGCTGGTACATGCTGCAGAAAGACTTGTTACCATAACAAGTTTTGTGATAATTATTTTAAGTGACTAGGCTGAGATATGACAAAAGCTTCTGGCAATCCTGCTGTGAATATGGAATTGGAATAAGAAATTGAGGATAAAACAATGCATTCTTATCTAATCCTAGGTACTTCTGTTTCTGCAGTTGCATGCCAGAAATCCGAGATAGGGAGAGTACTAAATGCTAATTCGTGGTAGCCTAAACAAATAGTTTTAGTTTTCTGGAAGGCCGGTTTTTACCTGGTGAAGTTCCTCATGGTTTTAATGAGGGTGTGGTGTACTCTGATTCCTCTAAGGGCCAAGTAAGTGAAAGGCCCAAGTGTGGCTGACCAGGTGTCAGAGGCCTTAGGGAGTGGTGAGGCTTGCGCCCATCCAGGGGCCCAATTGTGCCCCTTCCCATGGAGCAGCTACCACTCGGGTCTGACAGGTTTCTGCCAGGTGGGCCTAGGGCCCAGGATTACCAGTGCCTCCACATTTTCAAGAGAAGCATGAAATCCAGATTTATTTGGAGTCTTCTCATTTTAAAATGTTTGGAAATAATTAAAATGGAAAACAAACCTGTCAGCCCATGGTGTGGCCAAACAAAGCATGTTTGTGGTTTGACCCAGGAGCTCCCATGTTGAGCCTTTTGTTAGCTGTAAGTGCTTGGAAACACCGTGTACTAGAACATGTCAATAGTTTTTGTTTTGCCCTTTAATTTTTTTGGCTGTAAAATTTCTTATAAAGGTTGTTATGGTCATTTATTTCCAGTGTACATAGATTTCAGATTCTGAATTTCTGCTTGTTTATTCTCTCCCTATACCCTATTTTTCCAAGCTGTTGGCAAATACACAAAGTTGAGGGGGGAAGGGCATGTTTTTTCCTCCTGTTTCATGGTGCTCCTTTAAAATAAGAACACCTGGCCGGGCGCGATGGCTCACGCCTGTAATTTCAGCACTTTGGGAGGCCGAGGTAGGTGGGTCACTTGAAGTCAGGAGTTTGAGACTAGCCTGGCCAACATGGCAAAACCCCATCTCTACTAAAAATACAAAAATTAGCCGGGTGTGGTGGCAGGCGCCTGTAATTCCAGCTACTCGGGAGGCTAAGGCAGGAGAATTGCTCGAACCTCGGAGGCAGAGGCTGCAGTGAGCCGAGATCACATAACTGCACTTCAGCCTGGGTGACAGAGTGAGACTCTGTCTCAAAAAATAAATAAATAAATAAAAAATAACACCCAAGTGTACAGAAATAGGTGACTTCATTTATGGAGACACAGAGGTTCTCTTGCCTGCCTCACTGATTTGAACTCTAACCAGTCACAAGATGTCCCCCCTGCTATTTGGTAGTAGCTGTATTTGTCCTGAAATATAGAATACAGATCTGTTCCTGCAGACCAGTGTTTCAAGATGCAGTCCGCTTAACAGCCCTCATTTTCCTTGTTGCTTTTAAATGAGAGACCACACTGGATCAAATGAAAATGCAGTTCCTTCGGGATGTGTTTCTCTCATATCTGCCAAGATGCTATTATTGGACAAATCACCAAAGCCCTCTCTGGGATTTCTTTTAATTTTTTTTCATTGGTTTTTTAAAATGATGTAAGTAATACATTAATATGTTCCAATTGAAGTGATAATGCAGAAATATGGAAGCAAAATGCAAAGTACCCTTTTCCACCTACACCCATTCCCAGATACAGTCATTGGCAATAGTTTAGAATGCCTCTTTCCCTCCTTTTTTCTGTACATTTACATGTATAAGTATATATACATGTCATTTTCTTATTACATATACTGGATCATATTGTATACATTTTTGTCTGTGACTGACTTGCTTTTGTCCACTTAACTGTATATCATGGAGAGCTTTCCATGTCAATATGTTAGTTATCTTGTTCTTTCTAACATTGCATAAAATTTGATAGTACGGATGTACTGTACTTTATTTAACCATTCTTCTGTGGACACTATTGCAAACTGAAAGATTCAAGATCTTTGTTCGTAGGTCTTTGTGCACATGTGTGAGAATTTTTTTTGTAGCTAAATTTCTAGAAATGGAACTATTTGGTCAAAAGCCTATGCACACTTCAAATTTTGACAGAGCACTGATGAATTGCCTTTAAAAAAGGTCTCCATGAAATTTGTGGAACCTCTGATTATGCAGCTGAACATAGCCTCTAATTGCAGCATGTCCCACATTGTTACCTCGCTTTACTAATTCAGTAAGATTTCACTTGTATATGGCATACCAGGAAGTGATTTTAGAAACAGACTATGTCCTTAAAATCCCTTGAAAATACAGTTCTTAATCAAAACAAATTGATCAGTTAAGGGGCTAATGTAAAAACTCTTTTAAGAAAGACATATCTTGTAGAATCAGAGAGTTGAAAATCTATTTTCTGATCAATTTGGTGAGCTGTGAAACTCTAGACCCTTCCCAGCAGGGACATGTCCATAAGCACCCTTTAATCTGTTGTTAGAGAAGTGAGGTGGTCCACAGCCAACACAGACAGATCAGACGTTGATACTGGCCTGGGAAAATTAATTTCATTGCTGAAAAATCCTATCCAGGTGTGTTTGTAGCTTTAGGTTTTCAAATACTAGTTATTTAAGAATCTCTTTTGCTTTTTACTTAAAGAATGAGAAGATTAGGAGATAATGCTATTTAATGAGTTTTATTTAATGGATACTTGAATTTAATGTCCTTGACTCTTATTTTTTTATATTTTATTTTATTTTTGAGACAGGGTCTTGCTCCATTGCTCAGGCTAGAGTGTAGTGATGCCATTATGGCTCACTGCAGCCTCATCTTCTGGGCTCAAGCGATTTTCCTGCCTCAGACTCTCGAGTAGTTGGGACCAGAGGCGCACACTAGCACACCTGGCTATTTTTTTCTGTTTTTGTAGAGACAGGGTCTCGCTATGTTGTCCAGGCTGGTGTTGAACTCCTAGGCTCAAGCAGTCCCCCCACCTCAGCCTTCCAAAGTGTTGGGATTACAGGTGTGAGCCACTGCGTCTGGCCTGGCTATGTTTTTTTGAAATGATATGTTGATAAAGGACTATATAAATTAGAAACTATACCTTCTTTTCTTTTCTTCTCTTTTCTTTTCTTCTTCTCTTCTTTTCTTTCTTTTCTTTCTTTTTTTGAGATGGAATGTCACTCTGTTGCCCAGGCTGGAGTGCAGTGGTGCGATCTCGGCTCACTGCAACCTCTGCCTCCCTGGTTCAAGCGATTCTGGGTTACAGGTGTGTGCCACCAAGCCCGGCTAATTTTTGTATTTTTAGTAGAGATGGGGTTTCACCATGTTGGCCACACTAGTCTTGAACTCCTGACCTCAAATGATCTGCCCTCCTCAGCCTCCCAAAGTGCTGGGATTACAGGTGTGAGCCACCACGCCTGGCTGCTACACCATGTTTTCTTTTAAAGAGATATTGGGAGAAATATTGCAGGAAATCTAGGTCACTGATTGATTCCTAACTGTGTTCAGAAGGGACTACTTTGATAACTGTAATTGTTATTAATGATATGAAGTAAATTATTTGTGAATTTTACCACATTCCTTGAAAGACTGAGACTCAGTCAGGGTTAGTGAGTCTTGATTAGATAAATGACAGCAAAGTGAAATACTGTTTCTGTTTCCCAAAGATGGATTTAGTCCTTTCATCTGTTTCTCCAGATACTCATTTTTTAAGAAAAATTCTGGTTTGGTTGGCAGTGACATTCAGATTCTGATTGTATGCCTTCTGCATGTTTATTTTTACAACACACTGTGAATTGTAGAAATATGGTGGGACAGTCATATTTCCTTGGCATTGAAACCTTGCATATTCAAGAAAGTCTGTGCTAGGTTTTGCTCATGGAAATGTTATAGTGTTTCACAGTTTACAGACAATTTCCTTTGATAATGTCTGTGAAAGCACAGTGGAGGGCACCACCTGGTCACTCTTTCAACCTGTATCATTCAGGGCCCTGCTGGGGAACAGATGGCATGTGTACGCCAAGTCCTTTGAGGAGGGCTTGTTAAAGGGACCTTTTGCAAGGTGTGGGCAGGTGTAGGGAATACAATCAGGGTGAATGCTAAAGAAAGACCCAGCAGTGACGGGGAGTTAGTCCTACTCTAAGGAAGGGGCAAGAAAGGCTGACAAGAGCTGTATCCCTTTCTAGAGGGACCCCGTCTGCCTGTAATATCCCTCCAGGGAGACAGAGGGGAATATATATACCTTCCTCACTCTCTGCCTGTCCCCTAAACGCTGGCTAGTGTCTTCCATTAGCCGAACCCAGACAGAAGCCAGAGGGCAGGAGAGAGGAGGAAAAGGGTGGAAAAGGTAAGTGAATGGGTCTGGGAAGGCCAGTAGCAGACCCCCACCCATTTGCCCTCCAGAACAGAGGTTTGCATGGTTGAGTGGTCAGTCCAGGGTAGAAAGCTTATGATCTGGTTTTGTGGACAAAGAAAATAAAACTGCATCTACAGTGATTAAATTGAAATTGAAATTGAAATTGGGAATTTTCTACAATACCACATGGCTGGTATCAGTAAAATTTGTGGTGGGCCTTAGAGTAACATTAAAAAAATTTTTTTTTTAGTTCCCTTTGGAAGGGATTATGCTTTATGCTTCTTGGGAAATGCGTAGAATGGGAAATGTTATGTATTTATCTGATTAACCAAAAATGTAGGCTTATAGATAGGACAGACAGAAGGGATTCATAAAGTCTCTCAGCATGGAGTTGGATTCCTAAGATAGATATAATTCCTTTGATTTTAATATTTTATAAAAATATTTTATTTAAAATGTCAGGTACCTGGGGGAAGAGACTAGGAGGAAATTAAGGTTATTAACAGTAATTTTCCTTCAAGGAAGTCAATTTAACAGAATCATTAGCATCACTGAGTATAAATGAACAAGCTGTATTTCCCCATTTGTTCAGCATGGCAGCAAGACTCTGAAATTTCAGGCTCATTTATTCTCTCATTTTCTTGGCCCTGTTGCTTGAAAGGTGAAGTCTGCTCTTTGGTTTGTGTACTTGTCCTGAATGAACAAGCAATGGAACTTAATTAGAATCATAAAATAATACTGCTATAAGGTATATCAGAGTTCATTTCTTCTTACCTCCAAATTGTGTGCAGTAAGAAACCAAGATACTAGTCATTAGCAGCTACTACTTTGCAAGTTCTCAGAGTTGGTCACTCTGGAAAAATCATATCACCTCTCCATCATGAAGGAATTGCACTAGATTAATTCATTTTTGCTTTTACCCTTATATATTCCTGAAGTCCTTGATTCCAAGGGTTTGGTTGTCCATTACTCACTATTTTCATAGATTAGAGGCAGAGCTTCTTGAGTACCTCTTCATTACTTAGCCCTTAAAATGGTATTCTCTGGAGGTCTCTACATTGCTTTTGACTGTGTTCACTCTGTAAACTCTTTCTGTATAAGATAACTCATTCACTTCTACCATTTTTATAACCCCCAATTTACTGAAGACTCCCCTATCACTGACCTCTTGTCGGAGCTCCAGATATATCCTGTTGTCTGCTGGAGATCTTGACATTGAAGTCTATGGGGACTTTCAAATCAAAGTGTACAAAACAGGAGTCCTCAACTTCACTCCAAACTTGTGTCTCCTTCCGGTTTCTAAATCTTCATGAAACAAGCTATCCATCTGTTGAGTCTACCCCATCAATATCCTTCATTTTTGTTCACTTTTCTCCATTCCTATTGCCGCTAGCCTGAATTTATGTCTGCAGAATTTCCTGTCTTGATTGTTCCAAGAATTTTTCATTCAGTCTCTCTATACTGTCTCTTTCTTATCTGTGCCTCCATTCATGTCTTCTATTGGCTATTCAGTGAGCATCAGGTACTTTAACAGTGAGATCTTGCTCTCAGGAGTTTACAGTTTACTGGAGGAGACAAATAGACACTACTTTATAAGTTTACATCTTTGCCCGTTGACTCCATTCTCCAAACCAGCTAAAGTAATTTGCACAAAACAAATCTTATTATAGCATTACCTCTAAGATACTTCAACAGCTCCCTGTTGCTATCAGGATTAATTTGTTTTCCTAATTTGCCAAATGTAAGCCATCCCTGGCCTGACCCCTGTGATGAAGTTTTAACTCCTTTATTTGCATCACCTATACTAGGCTGTGTTGAAATCCAAGAACATAAAGCCTGCTGCACTGTGGACACTGTGGCTTTGCACTATGACTTTGCACTCAATCCCCTTCTTCAACTGGCTGACTCCTACAGGCCTTTAGAGACTTCATACAGTTGTCATCTTCCTGTAAAGCCTTCCTTGATTTCCACTCCAGTCCAGATTGGGTGCCCTACTTTAGTCCTCCTGTTGAACAGTTTGCAAATTTTAGCCACAGCATGACTCTCTTGGGAAATGGAACAATCTGGTGCATATTAGTGACTAAGTTGATGTCTCTTAAATGAATAAATAACCAAATGCCATTATTGCAAAGCCTGCAGATTGGGTAAATTAGGAAAACAATCTGATGATTAAGCAAAAAAAAAAAAAAAGCCAAAGTTTAGTAAACCGAAGCCATCTGCAGACCTATTAAAGAAAAAAGTATTTCATGATTATTTACACTGGTCATTGAAAAGTAGCAGAATAATCAATTTGGAAATATGATAAGTAATTTGAAAATTCTATATCCATTATTTCTGGTAACAGAAATCCTGATATTGTAATCAGTATACTAGATCCAGAGGAGACATTTCCCTGAAGATAAGTTATCATTTTTTTCCTGATAGGCACATACTCATATTGTTTTTCCTATTTTATGAGTTCGATTTTAATCAAGTTATTCTTATTTTTCTTAACAGTGTGTTATAACCTGGAATTAGAAAAAAAATTTCTTATTTCAAACTTGGTTGGAAATTTAGGAACAAAATAATTTATTTAATCAGATTATTTTATTAAGTGGGACTCTTAGTAATTTAAAATGCTTTGTATTCATTTTCTTGTAGCATTTTCTTTTCAAAATGACCTGCAAGTACATCAGTGCCAAACAGAGAAAGCAAGAAAGCCATTAATTAATTGAAGGGAAATATTCTGCTGAATACAATACTGTTTTTGAAAGAACATGTTTTATAGTTCCAAAACCAGAAGGGAGCATTTTATTCGTAGTGGTTTGAATCTTGTGAAAAGAGTGTCTTTGACAGTCTTCACCAGGCCCCCCTCCCCAAGCTTGGAGCATTAATAGGACTTAAGAGGTGTTTTCTTCACATTTGGCTTCTTTTTGATTTCACAGATTTCTTTTAGCTTTGTGTCGAAAAGTGCTAAGTATGTTAATTATTAGATATATCATTATTCACATTTCAGTGCAGACAACATTTAGGAGGATTATAGTTTAGTTATTACAGCTTTTCAGAAAACACTTCATGATAGCACTTGGAAATACAGATAGAGAATATTTCCTTTTATTTAGAGACTTTTTGGACCTGTGAGGCCCTCTGAGAATCTTAAGCTTGGCCCCATTCTGTCCATTTTTCATTTCCTTTGAAAGAGTTTCAAAGTAACTGGTTAAAGTTTCTCCCCATCTGCCATAAGTAGCATAGAGGGATTTCTTGTGCAGCTACCAAAGGGAAATGAGGAAATTTAAAAGTGCAGATGATTTGGGTATTAACACATATCCTGGCAGTGGCTCTGCCAGAATCAGGCTCTCCCAAACCATTTTGTTTTATGTTAATTTTTATTTTCTCAGCTACAGTATTATAAACATGGCAGACCAACAGGTTTTCCATAAAGATTGATGATCAGGAGGAATCCACTCCTTAATTAAGAGCAGCAGATGCCTTCTGAAAACCTTCTGGAAATGTTCTACTTAATATTGAACCAAAGTGCTTCCAGCTTTGTTGGAAAGGTTAAGGCAATAATTACATGGAAGGTATGTCTCATTTGTCAACAGGGTTTTTGGTCTAGAATATCTCAAGAGCAGTTCCTGTCCATTTCCTTCTAGAGGTGACAGCAGCCTTCTTATTGCAGAAGGGTTATGGTGCAGGGAACATAAGTGCTTACCAATAACTGCTTCCTATCCTCACACAGGATACGAGACACAGGGTATGAGACCCTCAGAAAGGAAGTCTCTTTCTCTACACACACACACACTCATACACACACACACACACACCGCAGGTGCTTGAGCCACACTGTGGAATGGGATACATAAGAAATGGAGCCAATTCTTTGATATTTTTGTCTTTACTGGATGGCTTTGCAATATTTTAAAAATGTTGAAACTTCCAGGATTCTTTAACACCGGGCCCCTAACCCATTATTTATTAGGCTTAGGCATTGTGCCCTGGGCCTTCAGAATACAATCCCATTTCATTCTCTCAGCAATTCTGCAGGTTAGGTATAATTACGACCATTCGATACTAAGAAAACTGAGTGATTACAGCACTTACTGAGGGTCACATGGTTCATCAGTGGTATAGACAAGTTTCAAAATAAGGTTGACCTGACCTGAATCTGAATGGCTGCATCTGTGACCATACAGGCACAGAGGAAAGGCCATATGAGGACACGGGAGAAGGTAGCAGTCGTCAAGCCAAAGAGAGAGGTCTCAGGAGAAACCATGCTTGCTGGCACTGGCACCTTGATCTTGAACTTCTAGCCTCTGGAACTGTGACAAAATAAATTTCTGTTGTTTAAGCTAGTCAGTCTATGGTATTTAGTTATGGCAGTCCTAGAAACCTAATACAGTGGAGGGTTTCTTTTACATGCAGATGAAAGCAGTCCTTGTGATACAGAAACAAAGTATTACAGACCAAAAATATCAGAATAATAATTTTGGCATTTGAACACATGTTCCTAATTTCAAAAGGTGATTTTTTTCTTGAGTTGGTTTAGTTTAGAGAGTATTTGCTTTCACTGAGCTTTCATAAGAGTTAATTTGTTTACAGGCAGAGATGAGATAAATCATGTCTTTCTTTAGCCTGTTTCTTTATCTGTTTCTTTTTTTCTACATGAATTGCACATACTTCTTTAAGGAGTCTTATAATTAAAACATGTTAAATGAGCTCAAATCTTTTTCCATAATTAGGAACTTGAATCATTGCCTAATTTGTAATTTGATAAGTAATGTGTATTTGTTGAATTTTTCTGCTATCAATGTAAGTCCTGGGGTAATTTTCTAAAACAAAATAAAAATGGTTTTGGCTCTGTTTTCTTAACATATTAACAGTAGTCTAGGAAATATTTTAATTTCTCTTTAGTTAGTTGGTGCTTTCTCTTTGTAATTTTTTTTTTTGTGTGGGGAATAAATTATCATAAGACATTCATTAAGTGCATTGTAGTGTTTTGCTTAATTTGGTGCCTGTCAGGAAAAAACCCAGCAGCACAATGGAGGTGCTATGAATGAGTTATTTTATTTATTAATTTCAATCTAAATTTATCACCAATGGAGAAATAAAATATTTGTAGAATTGAGGTTATAAAACAGCAAACATAACTGCTGAATGATTTATATTCAGTACATTCTTTAATATAAAGATTGGATATAAAGACATCTTCAATATAAAGCATGACATTGATTTGCTTTAAATAAAAAAAGAATATATTTTCACAAGGTCAGGAGATTGAGACCATCCTGGCTAACACAGTGAAACCCCGTCTCTACTGAAAATACAAAAAAATTAGCCGGGCGTGGTGGCGTGCGCCTGTTGTCCCAGCTGCTGGGGAGGCTGAGACAGGAGAATGGCGTGAACCCGGGAGGTGGAGCTTGCAGTGAGCTGAGATTGTGCCACTGCACTCCAGCCTGGGTGACAGAGCAAGACTCCATCTCAAAAAAAAAAAAAAAAGAATATATTACTTTTTCTTTTTCCAATATTATTACTTGAGTGAGCTTTTTAAACAGTATGGTGCTATTTTATTAGTTAGGTAATGCATACATTTGATTAAGTGTGATATATTTTGTTTAAAATACTATTCAGAACCTGACATAGCTACAGCATAGAATGGGGTCACATAATAAAGGTTCTTCTCCTTTACATATGTGCGTGAACTTTCAGTGAGTCACATGAAATGACCACTGGTTTGGTCATTTGAGTTTATTTGAATACATTAGTTATGAGCTATTTAGTTCTTTCAAGCAGTCATAATTCATTCTCAAATTTTAAATCAGACATGTACTGTAGCTAGCACGTAGTAGGCTTTTAAATGTGTCCTAAAACTAATATGTAAGATGAGGACATGGGCCACAAACTGTTATTTTGCTTTCCTTCCTTATTTCATGGTTTTGTATATCTTATTTTGGATTTGTATGCATTCTGCTGCTTCTAAAATTAGTATCTAAGCAATGCATTTTTTAACATTAATTATCAAGTTTTGTCTTACTTTTAAATTCTGCCTTATATAAGGCAGCATAAGTGGGCATTACTGCCTTGCTGACACCTACTTTCCTGGGGTGAAATATATTGACCTTGACTGTAACCTTGACATTTAAGATAGTTGACTAGACTCTGAAAAGAGAAAGACCAGCGTGATTGTAAATCACACCTATTTGTATAACATCCTCAATTACGTAATAAAAATAATCCAGAAAATTGCCAAGATACTTGAACATATTATACGGGGATTGGTCTTAGAAGCACAGACTTACCCATGGGAATTAGTTCATTTTCTGAAGAGTCCTTCACCAAACTGAAAGTTGAGTTTACAGTCCTGAGAATGTGATGCCTCTTTGGTTATTATAACCACAAAACAGTGGAATGGCTGTTTCTTCCTTTAAGCAAAATGATATGTTTAAACTCTTTTTTTGAGGGATGATTTAAAATGTGTTAATTATGTGGCTTCATTTGGAATATAAGAGATGATATAAATTAAATTATCACTGAAATTTTTACCCTGCCTGCCTCACTCACTTTGACCTTAGGACCTTACAAAGAGTGAGAAAAAGCCATCATGATGAGAAAAAGTGATCATCTCAAACTCGTGTATGTAGATGAAAAAGGATATATGTTTCTGTGTGAGGATCCCATGTAGAAATACCTTTATAAAGTTACTTGCAACTACAGCATCGGTATATTGGGAAGGAAATGAACATTTTTTGAAGTGTCTTGTGAAGGTCAGGAACTCCTCTAGGGACTCTCCTTTGGGAGGAAGTTTAGCAAAATGGTTGTGAGCGTGTATGATGTGCATTGTGGGGTCCTGGCTTTGCTACTGAGAAGCCGAGTGACCTTGGTCAAGTCATTGACCTCGTCCTCCTTATCATCATTTTTTATATCTATCCTGTGAGATAGGTGGCAGTATCCTCATTCTACAGAAAAAGAAACTGAGGCCCATTTAAGTAACTTGTTCAGGGCCACATAACTAGCAAGTTGTAGCGCCTCAGCTGGAGTCAGACCCTGCTCAGGATTCTACCCTCTTCTACCCCTTCCATGTGGTCTTCCCCTCCTTCCAAGGCTGTGTTTGCCTAGCTACCAAGTTGACAGTTTTGATCAAATAGGTTGGTTGCTTTCATGTTGAATGAGCTCAGATTAGGAGCACCGATCATAGGGAAAAGGTTTCGAAAAGGAAATTGGGAGAAGTGACTTATAGCTGGCCATTGCCCTAGCTGATTATGTGTTCTTGAGCAAGTCATTTCACATCACCGGTTTAAATGAAGGGCTTAGGCTTCTAGAACTATTTCTTTTATATTTACCCTTTTATCATCATGAAGTGTTTCTCTTTGTCTCTAGTAATCCTCTGTGTGGAAGTCTATTTTGTCTTATTAATATAGCCAGTTCAACATTATTTTGCTTACTGTTTGCATGATATAACTTTTTTCATCCTTCCAACTTATTTGTGTGTTTCCGTTTAAAATGTGTCTCTTTGTAGAGAGCATATAGTTGATTCTTGCTTTTAAAAAAATCTATTCCGATAATCTTTGCCATATAGATGGAATGTTTAGTCCATTTACATTTAAAGTTGTTGACATAATTATATTCTGTGGTTAACATTTTATGAAATATATTACATTTGCATTTTGATATTTCTATATCTTCTCAGTTTTCTTTCAGATTTAACTTTATGGAAAAAAGTCACAAGACTTATTTTATACTATACATAGTATACTATACATAGGTTGTATACATAGTATAATTGGTTTGTTGGATGGGCCACACTTAGTGAGACATAAACAGAAAATAGCTTTATTCTCTCCTCTCCTGTACTTTGAATGATTTTTTTTGGCAGATCCTATAGCTTTTCAGTCATTTTACAGTATTGGAACAACCTAATTTTCAAATATTAGAAAAACATAGTACAATGTAAATCAAAACTTCCATTTTCCCATCCAGTTTGTAGCTTCTCCCCTTTTTTCATTCTTAGGCTTGAGCCCAGGCTTAGTGATCAGCAGTAGGGAAGAAAAGGAATTCCTGGTTTAACTCTCCTCTCTTCCTCTCCTACACATTATCTGGCTCCTCCAGAGTTGACACGGGGGACATAAAAGGGGCCAAGGCTATTGCACGTAGCAGGTGCTGTTTGTTTTCAAGGCCAGTTCTTTCTCATACACACCCTGATGGATTTTTTGGAGAGCCCTTGCAGGTCCATTGGCATCATGCCATTATTTGCTTTGAGCACTGCAATATCAGCTCCTCATATTCCAGTGGAAGATCACTGGAGTGTCTCTGTGTCCTTGTCCAGGCAGCCCACTCAGATGGAGGCTTTTCAGGATCATTCAAACATGACAACCTTCCATAGTATTCACAAGGTCCACAGGAAAACTCTCATCTTAACACCATCAGACCCCGAGGGCACAGCCTGCTTCTACTTCTACTGGGGCTCTGTTGCCTTGCAGATGGCATCAGCCAGCCAATCTGATGCACAAGCCATGGTTTCTGCACTGAAGCAGGCATCCAGGCAGGGAATAGAATATCAGCCTCTGTCATTGCAGATAGCCTCAATTTATTATGGCTTTTCTTTTCTTTTCTTTTTTTTTTTTTTTTTTGCCTTCCTTATGAGGTGTTAGAGAGAGAAGGAAAGGGATCTGTTGAATTTTCTTTGAAGAGTTTGCTGCA
The DNA here is from genome assembly GCF_000001405.40 of Homo sapiens. Taxonomy (NCBI): domain Eukaryota; kingdom Metazoa; phylum Chordata; class Mammalia; order Primates; family Hominidae; genus Homo; species Homo sapiens. The sequence goes on from NC_000020.11 coordinate 9,088,267, forward strand.
GTGCAGTTCTTCTCATACACAGACTCTTGGAGGTGATCTCTGGACTGGCTTGGCCATGTGTAGCAAGTCCTGTGGACATATACAAGGAACTCATCATATCACCTTTGGCATTGAAACATTAGCAGAAAATTGAAACAATATTCCCTTTTCTCATCATTAGAAGAATTTAGAGATCACTGGCTTAATAGTAAGATGCACAGATAAGTGTTAAACCTTCAGCTACATTTATAATTCGTGAACTGCCACACTCTGTAAGCTCCTACCTTCACAGTAATGAGAAATACTAAGTACCAAATAAATGCTTAATGAATCAAGTCATGGTGATTGCAGGATATTGGTCTCTGGGAAAGGTAAAGGTGACCAATATAATAAGAGGAATGAGGTTGCTAATCTGTAAAATTCTTTACTGATTTGGTTAAACAATGGGTCACTTAAGTGGAAAAAAATAGAATTCAAAACTACTGTTAGCCTTGTCAAACTAGTTGGTCAGGTTGGCCTATATAAAACCTGAAACTGGATTGACAGGCACTTCTGCTGGAAATCTCTAAACAGTACAGATCATATAGGTATATTCATAAATGTATATATATGTAAATGTGTACTTTTTTGAGGAATATATATATACTTTTGCATATATATGCAGACATATAAATATGTATTTTATAGACTAATATAACTGTCAGAGAAATGACATAATGATGTCATATAATATATAAAATATAAAAATATACTTTAAGAGTTGGCAAATAATAAATAGCACAGATAAAGGAGAATGGTTTGGAACAAGAAACAGGTAATTTCCCCTAATTTTTGGAGCAGAAATAGATGAATATGAAATGTATATATCAGTTCATTAGTTAGCTTATTTCAAAGTACAAAATAGCCTTAAAAGATTTAATGTGATTTTGTACCAGAATTTATAGGTGACAATATGATAAGAAGTTACTTTAAAGTTATAAATTTAATTTTGACTAGTTAATTATCAATATATTTAAAAATATATTAACATGTGCTTTATCCTAATTAAAAGGAGATTATATCTCAGTAGTGTCTAAGATTTTTAAAAATAACTTTGGTACTTATAAAATATGTGATTATGTAAAAAATATTGGAAAATAACTTAAAAGCACAAAGAAGAAGGGAAGAAGGCAAAACTACCTTTAATCTAATTATAATAGGTGGTAACCAATATAGGCCAGAATGAGAAACACCAGATTGCTTTTTGTTTATTGATACATTTTTTCCATGAGTGACAAAAATTGGTCTTTTCATGGTAGAACTTCCTTTGATCTATATTTAATCAGCTCACTTAATTTTCTGTTTAAAACTAATAATTCCTTTCATGGCTAGACTTTGTATGTAGGAAGTGGTTCTAAGATTGTGTCCAATATCATCAGAAATCTGCTTAATATAACTCCTAAAGCTTTATTTGTAGACTAGATATTTGTATACTATTTGGAGCCTTTGTCAGCTGTTAGGAATTATTTTAAGATGTGGAGAAAGAAATAAAGTTAGCTGGTGAATAAGGAAGTATTTTCACACTTGATCCTGTTTTTAGTTTTAATCCTGGAATTGCTTATAGCAGTTAATGTGGACCTCAATATTTCATTTTGTAAATGAGCAGTGTCAGTATGATGGTGGGGTTAAATGCAAGGGAGATGCTTTTGTCCTACTTTTCAAGGTATACTTTAAGCAAGGTAAGCATTCGTAAAGGAGTCCTAATTTACTAGAAAGCTTGAAGTTTTGGAGCAGAGATTTTCAAAGAAGTTGTACGCAGAGTTCTTTCTGAGCTATGGCCTGATAGTGTCTTTGTGAAAGTATCTTCTTCCCATTTCTTTTGTTATGAAGCCTGTTTTTTAAAATCATTGGCCTTTGGTGAAGATTGAACACATTGAAAAATAACTGTATAGGAGAAAAACTGTGAGTGTTATAGTGTTATTTAATTGAGAATACTATTTATGTGTGTGTGTGTGTGTGTGTGTCTGTGTCTGTCATGGGAAAGTATTGAAATGATGCATTACTGAAGAAAAAAGGATTTGTTTATCTTTCCAAAGAGAATCGAGCTATTATTTGGGAAAAAACTCAACATCCTTTTAAATCATATTTTTTTCAAATGTATGTGTATGGGAAATCTTAAAATAATAGATAACTAACTAATAGAAAGGGGGAGGGAAAAAATGGAAGTGTGCTTTGTCACCCGATAACTATCCCAAAATAAGTTTGGCTTCTAACACATTTTTAGTGTGTTTTTTTTTTTTTTTCAAATGGGTATTAGATAGCTTCCGTGGTAGAAGTGAGGACTTGCAGAATACTCTGTGTTACTAAAAAATTGCTGGAAAAGTTAACCTGAAATGGCAGAGTAAAGAAGCTCATGTTTAAGCTAATATACTCCAGTAACTTTTGCATCTCTGCACGTTCATCACAGACTGTGAGCATATTGTGTATAAATAATTACCAAATGTTTCGGGGGTGGTGATTCTATTTCTTCTCCATGAGAATTTATAAAGTTGTTAAATTTGGTTTCTTTGGAGTCATCACAGTTTATTTCACTGAGATGTTTACTGGATAAATATTTTCACAGAAGTTTTCATCAACTTCAAAGAGGTAGTAGTTATTCAATGCAAAGTATTAGAAGCCTATTGCAATATACATGCAATTTGTTTTCTTTCGACAGTAGACTTGTTTCTCTTTTTGGTTCAAATGAATTCATTATTTTAAACTGCTTCAATCAATTCGATATGTTGTATTCATAGACACAGTGGGTTTTATTTGTAAGCCTCCCCAGAGACCAGGGTCCCCAGGGTCTTGGTGCCACATGTTCTGTAAATGTGACAGGAGAGCTGGGGTGTTTGTACCATACATGGGAGAGGGCTGATTTCTGAGAGAAACTAATGCTGTTGACTCATAAGTTTCTTTTTATCATTTCTAGGTCATACAAGTACATGGTAGCTTTAAAAAAAAAACATGCCATAGGTATGTAGAGCCTTTATAAGTCTCGACAACTGTAAAATGAGCTAGAGAAAGTCACTATCTGGGTCATGTGGAACCACATCTGGTTTATGATATGGGCATGTAGTAATTGTGCTTGAGATTACAGTGGAGCCTCACCTGGCTTATGTTTTTGGCCATAGACTGAAGGTTCCTTTGAATGTTCCCTCAGCTAATGTAGGTATGCAGTTTATAAATAATATTTTCATAAAGACAAAAGTGAGAAGCAGCATTGTACAGCAGAAATGTGAGAGCTGACTTTCCTAGGTTCTGACCTTCCTAGGTTTGAGTATCCAGTCTGTCTTTTGCTAGAAAAGTGACCTCAGGTGAGCTCCAAAGCTCCCTCTGAACTTGTCCTCATGGGAAAGGGGAGAGACTAGTGCCTAACTGGGGAGCGGTGAAGACTGCATGAAATACTAGATGCAAAGTGCCTAACACCTCACCTGGTTTATACAACAATAGCTACCTGTTAGTTGTAGTTCTGTTCTTTTCTTTCTACAGACATTTGACCATTAAATACACAATTATTTCAACCCATTATTATATTTCTAGAAGTGATGCTTACAGATTTTTTTTTCTTTTTGAGAACTGCATGCTTTTCATAAAGTCTCTTGGAAAAGTAATCTCTATGTAGTTTTGCTTCTTCATTCATTCAGCATTTGTCAATACTTGTTACTGGCTTGCTTCCTGAGGTCTAGGAGTTTATGTTGTATCAAGAGAGATCTACAGATAATAGAAGTTACTGTAGAATTTTAAGTTCCACAGAAGGTGCATTTCTGAGGCCCTATAAAGCAGCATTTGAATCAGGTCAGCTCTTCAGCCCTCGAGAGGTATTTTCATGTTCTTGTTTTCTGTTTTTTAGTGATGTTCCATTTCTGGTGTTTAATCTAGGCATGCCACTAAATATTTACTTTTCTTTGTGAGACAGGTTAAGACTGTCTTAACTTAGAAGATTCTTCATTTCTTTGGTCACTGGAATAGCATTGCTGTCTTTTTTGTCATCATTCCGTTTTGCATTGTTATCATTCTCTTTTGCATTGTTAATATCAGAATGTAATGGTCCTTAGGAAAGCACAGTGTGGCTCGGTAGAGTGATGTGCCTTGTTGTTTCTGATGCTTTTTTGATTCTCTCTGAAGCCTGTTGGTGAGCCTGTTGGGTGAGACATCCTTAGTGTTGACAAGTGGGAATTGTTGATGAGGTTTCCACTGCAATGGTGATGTATCTGTTACTGAGCAGTTATAGGGTGCATCGCAGTTAGTTAAAATAGGAGCAGCTTCTCAGGATACAGAAGGGGGAAAATAAGTTATTGCTGGTGTATATATTAGAATATTTTTGGCTGTGAGTGATAGAAAACAGCAGCCTAAACTAACAGAAGTTTAAGAGAAATGCACGCTTGGGAATCTAAGCATTTTGGGCAGATGTGGCATCTCAGCAGTGCCATCAGGGAACCAGGTTCCTTCTGTCTTTCTCACCACTCCTTATCATTTAGCATTTATTTGTCTTCATAGGTGTGAGATGGCTCTGCACCACTCAGGAGCTATTTCCAGGAAATGAGGGATTGGGACTTGTTTACATCATGAGAATGAACTTTCTCAGAGCTCTCTCTCTTGTATCTCATTGGTCAAAACTGTGTCATGTGGCTATCCCTAGCTGCCATAGTATCTGGGAAAGCAAATCGTTTCAGCTTAGTATATTGGCTCGTAACGCTATAAATGTTGGCTAAACAAATAGCTATAGCCACCATACCTGGGAATTTTGTTTTTGTCACATCTACTAGCTTAGTTTTAGATTTCATGATTTGGTAAGTATTAGATGCTACTTCATTCATTCACTTATTTGACACATATTTATTAAATGCATAAGGCCTTAGGATATACCATTGCAAATTTAATAAAACTAGTCCTCATATTATGGCTGCATGAATGTAAAATATCTAAGTATGGTTGCGAGCTAATGGATGTTTCTCTTAGCTCATGTAGTAAATGGCTAGAACTGTGATTTTCAAATTGAAAACAACTGAATTTTGTTTAGCTGACCTCCGTCATGTAACTCGTTCGTAATTATTAACCCTACCCTCCCTCCTCTGACCCTCAGTCCTTTTACTGATAAATTTGGAAGCCTGCCTCCTGAGGCTGAGTTGCTCTGGTTTTCCCATAATACTCCCTTTTCCAGCTTTTATATGCTTACCCATTAAGTCAGACAAATTTCCTTTTCAGAGTTTGGCATTGTTTCTTTATTGGAAAGGAAACAGATTGTTTTAGGCCAGGAAAGCTTGCAAAAGAAAATAGAAGACCATGAACTATGTTTTTTATTTTCTTGTTTTTAATCATCACATCTCACGTTAGGATTTAGTGTTAGATCTCGGTGTGTTTTCTGTTCAGAGGGAATGTGAGGTTCTTCTGGCACCTGGTTTGTCTTTGATGTGGGGTAGGCACAGCTTTACACATGGTCTTTCCCCAAACCATGACATAAATCCTGCTTTTTATTTTATGGCGAGGGTCAGGTTTCCAGTAGTGGCATCTGGCGGGGTCAGTAAATCAAATTCCTGGGCTGTGAGGATGATTTTACTTGTGGGTGACTTTCCCTGCTTGTTGTGAGAGCTCAGCTTTAGTGTCACATGGCCCCTTTTTGGCTCTTTCAAATTTTAGTCAAATTGCGTGGTATAATCCATAAAGTGCCCATCTTTTGTCTGTTTCACAGTGACAGATCACTGAGCTAGGATAAGCAGGTAGCAGATCTGATAATTTATATCTGTGGCCCCAAATCTTTGCCATGAATAAAGGATTTTTAAAAAAAGTTGTTTCCTCTTGGATGTTGGCATTAGAAAGAATTTGTTCATGAAACATCACATTGATACTAATGATATGTTATTCATTTCCCCAATTACATGAATCAAAGGTGTATTTAACTACCTACAATTTCTGACAAGAATGAGATAACCAGTGTTCCTATGTTGATGTTACTTAATTGAAAGCAGGATACCTAAAATCAAAAAAGAAACAGAAGATTTATTGCAACTAAATATATATTTGTTATTTGGCTTTGGAATATTGAAATAAATATTCAAAGCCATTTTTATAATTTTTTTAAACCATACCTATAAGCTTTTCATTTTTCCTAGTGTGATATTTGATTTTTAAAATTTTTGCCTAAAGTATTTCTTTTTTTTTGTTAGAAAGTATTTGAAAAACAGAAAGGTTGTGATAGTTATGATCTGTGCATTTCTCTCTGTATTTTCACAAATAATTCCCATCAAATGAACATTTAAAAAACTTTTTATTATGGAACATTTTGAATATACATAAAAGTACAGTGAATATCACAGTGAACCTTCATATATCCATCATTACACTGTAACAAACTCATGGCAGTTTCGTTTCATCCATTACTCCTCCCCATCAGTGACCTCAACTGGATTGTTTTGAAACAAATCCATATTTGAAGCAAAAATAGATATATTATTTCTGGTTGGTCAGTTATGAACTGAAGATCTATAAGTGGCCCCACCCCAGTTGTTACTATGTCATAGATTATGATTTGGCTTAGTGTACGTGCAGTGACCCATGTGTGCATATTGATCATCAATCCATCGTGGCTTTCTTAGCTATCTTGGCTTTCTTTTGTTAGCAGAGCTTACCTGCAACTGTAGTTTCAGAAAATAGAACAGGCAGCTCTTACCATCACTATACTATATTGGCAGTGAAGGGGACCACAGTACTGCTGGTTGACATATGAAGTGGTGAAGAGCAAGAGAGGAAAGGCCCCAGATGCTGGCTTACACTGGGGAGTCCACATGGGGCATTGGTGTTGCTCTGAAGGAGAGAGGTTCTGCAGCTATCTAAGCTTAGCCAAGAAGAGTGGAACTCATTTTGGCTATTTGCAGACATGGACATGGTTGCAGGGTTCACGATCCTTTCAGTAGGATGTTGTGAGAATTTCTTATTTAAAGTTTAAAAAGGATTTTTATTCTGAAGTGAAGCAAACACAAGCTAATGGAGGATTTCTCATTTGGGGAGAGGGACTCCTCTGGACTGTGGTCTCCTTGAATTTATGCATTGGCGGTCATTTCAAATCTTTGGAGCTCTTTTGGGTCAGAATCCTGGTCATTGTTTTTGAATCTATATATCATTATCCCCATTGGAAGTTAAATTACAGACGGAACCAAACATATATCATGGTCAGAGACAGAATTACATTCTTGTGAACATTATCCCATGGGTCATTTTAATTAGATTTGACCGGAAACAGTTTATAGTAGTGGATGATTAACTTATATTAAACTAAACCATTTACTTTCTTATTTTGGCTTGAATATGTAAAGTTAAAATAATTTATATTAACAAGTGATTTTGAAAAGTCATATTTAGTATTTGTTAGTGACTAGTAGGTTTCTGTGTCAATTGTTTATTGAAAGTAATACATGTAAAATAAAATCAGAGGTATCCTGTTTTTATTTAAATTTTTATGTAGTTTTTTTGTAATCTAAAAGTCTTAGCTAAGAAAAATAGAGCCCATAAATATAGTTTATTGGCTTGGACAATAAAAAATCAATAGAAAGAGGTAGCAGCTCATAGTTCTCTTACCTTCTGCTACCTACACAGCCCATCACAACCTTTTCACATCATTTTCCCACTGGAAAAGCAGAAACAAGAGTGGAGTTTTATATATTTCCTTCTTTGTTTATACATTTACTTTATGGAATTAAGCAAAATGTTTGAAAATATGTCATTGGGATAGATGTGATGTAAAAACTTTAATTCTAATTTTGAGCAATTTTCATTTACTTTTATCCATTTTCCATTTGATTTTATCCATTTTGTTCTTTAAAAAGCAAATCATTGGAATTAAAATCTGTAAAATGTTTTATGTAGATAGAAATGAAGAAATATTTCAAGTCTAATTTAAAGATTTCCATTTGTTTAATATTATAAATGAAACACAACATGGTAAGATTATAGGCTGGTCTTAAAAATTCACATTTGCTATTTATTGTTACTAGTAGGTAGTTTTTCTTCTATTTTTTCTTCACAGGAAAAGACAATTTCTCTCTGATTCAGAATCCTGAAAATGTGATCTCCCTTAAAAAGGTAGGTGTATGTGCTTTTTAATTTGTGACTAAAAAAATTTTATCTTGAATAAATTACAATCCAGATGATTTAATCGAGAAGCAATTTTTTATGCCACTAACACGTGCCATTGTGAATTGAATTAAAACCTCAGATTCATCTTTCTAAATTCAATATTTAACTTTGCCAGTCTTTTTAAAGAATGACTATTTTGAGACAAAAGTTGATGTCTACAGCAGTCAATGTATGTGATGTATAATAAGTGAATGCTTCTCAGCAGATCCATTTTTTTATTGCAATACATTTATTTCAGCTCATCTTGATGAAATGTGTTCCTGTCTTTTTCAGTGGGTGACATCTTTCTAGGAAACCAAGACAGTGTGGAAATGTAAAATGGTCTGTGGCCAGTAAAAAATGTGATATCTTTCATTTTGTGGTGTGAGATTTCTTTTTCAGTGTGTGGATTGTGATTTGCTGCATACTTTGTCAGCTGTAATAAGGTTGGGGGCATTCTTGGGTGTACGGTATCTTTTTGTAATCCATACAGAGCCTGCAAGAGGTTTCCAAATTTCATGGAGTGAACTCATACTAGCTTAGGAGCCACTTTGGCTTTCTTTTTTTTTTCTTTTCTGAGGCAGAGTCTCGCTCTGTCACCCAGGCTGGAATGCAGTGGCGTGATCTTGGCTCACTGCAACCTCTGTCTCCTGTGTTCAAGGGATTCTCTTGCCTTAGCCTCTGAAGTAGGTGGGTCTATAGGTGCCCGCCACCACACCCAGCTAATTTTTGTATCTCTAGTAGTGATGGGATTTCACCATGTTGGCCAGGCTGATCTCGAACTCCTCATCTCAAGTGAGCTGCCTACCCCGGCCTCCGAAAGTGCTGGGATTATGGGTGTGAGCCACAGCCTGGCCTTTTTTTTTTTTTTTTTTTTTGGTTTTTATCTCATACTTTTTATTCTGAAATATGGACTGGCTCTCCTGTTCTGAAAGGTGTAGTTGGGGACTTGGTTCTGACTAGAGCCATGCGTTCAGGGAGTGCCTGTGGAGACTGGGAAACCGCTAGGCATGAGTGGTATGGTGGGTCCCATGGGGCTGTCACCCCAAACCACAGGACTGCCTCAGAGATTTGGGGGGTGTTTTAAGGTCACAGTGGTCAAATCTGACCTTGTGCCATTATCCTTTCATGTTATCCTCTAGTTGGCTCTCAGACTGTAAGATTTTACCTTTTAGATCATTTCTGGGCTGAGAAGTTAGGGTATAGAAACAATTTGTCCTGATTTAATTACAATAACAAATTCGTGATGCTGATGGCGTCTTTCCTCATTCTTCTGCAACCTCACAAGAATGACCATTCACCTCCAGCTTTTAATTACCCATCCAGCTAGCTCCCAGCCATCTCTGCCCTGGGAATGGCTTGGTTCTCTCTGACAGAGCTCACCAAGCAGTTGCTCACATGTTACTTATAAAGCACCCACCTCTAGATAGCAAAAAGTGAAGACTATGGTCCATACTATATCATTGGAAATCTAGTGTGGAGAACGAACATACATTGATTTCCAAATTGGAAATAGAGGAGTTGAAGCTGAGTTGTAATGTTCGGCCCATTTAAGATAAATAGAGCCACCCGTGTAAATTTGGCATTTGGACATAAATAAACCCTATGAGAGTATGCTAGCAGAGTGAACTTACAGAGACCAGAGAGATTGTTGCGAATTTGCTTCAAAATTGGAGTTCAAAAACCTGCTGTATGCAATTATTGCAGTGAATTGACTGCATAATAGTTAAATAAATGTTTTCTTTTTTTTCTCAGATTATTTATTTAAATGTTGGCTTCAAAGACGATATAGAGAAACATGAGTTAATCAAAGACAGAGAGTGAGGATAATCTTTGATAGAATGATGACTGCAAAAGAGCTGTTAAGTGTGATATAAATGCTGAGTTATAAAAATACACTTTTAGGAAATCCAAATTATTAAACCTTGATCATCTTGAATAATAATTGGACTTAACTGCAGCATAAATCATCTGCATCACGTATCTGCTAGCAGATATGTATAGAAAAAATTCGACTTTCAACTACTAGGAAAGTTGCTTTTTCGCATTTATCCAACATTAATCTAAAATCCCTCTTGGGAATAAAAACTCACATATCTGCAAGGTCGCCAGACAGTTAGGAGCACATTCTGGAAAAGGCTCCTCAGCTGCATGGGTGACAGAGCCCAGGAGGCTGTGGAGTATTGTAAAAGTCCTGGAGTATGTGGCAATTAATTCGAAGGATGTCTCATGTGTTAAATAGTCTCATATATATATACACATATATATACGTATATATGTTAGTCTCATATATATGTATATATACATATGTACGTATATATGTACATATATACATATATACGTGTGTGTGTATATATATACATATATGTGTGTGTGTGTGTGTGTGTGTATATATATATGAGACTATTTAATACATGAGACATCCTTGGAATTAATTGCCACATACTCCAGGTCTTTTACAATACTCCACAGCCTCCTGGGCTCTGTCACCCACGCAGTTGAGGAGCCTTTTCAAGACTGTGCTCCTAACTGTCTGGCGACGTATATATATATATGTATGTATATATACGTATATATATATGACTATTTTAAAACTCTGTATCATTCCTGCTATAAGGAAATATATATGAATATGAAGTGTTACTGAATTAAGAGGTGCTTTTTTATTATAATGTATTTTCTTAATCAATAGAAATTAAATCTACTTTATACTACTACCATTTATACTACTATTATAAATGGCTAACAATTCATTTTGACATTAAACATGGTTCTCATAATCAAAGAAGCTCATAATCAAAGAAGTTGAAAGTTGTTGCTCTAGAACATGGGGAAGGTATCTGAATCATGTTAAGATTGGATCCATGATTCGAGCAAGACAGGGCCAGAATGTTTTTAAATAGTCAGAAGAAAGAAATACTCAGATGTTTATTTTATTAGATATTAGATTAGGTTACTAGGGGCAATAGAGGAACTTTCTTCTATAAACTTTTAAACAGTCCATTTTCTTGTATGGTAGCTTGGTTAGATGTATTCTTCAGTACGAAAGCTAGCAGCCACATGTGGTCATTTAAATTTAACCACATATAGTTATTTTAATTAAGAAAATTAAAAATTGAGTTCATCATTTACACCAGTCACAATTCACATGCTCATTAGCTACATGTGGCTAGAGGGCAGCACATAGAACATTATCATCATCATAGAAAGTTTTTTTTTTTTACAGTGCTGGGGACAATTGTCATCACTAGGACTGCTCCATGCCACAAGTAGTACCAACACCACAAAGCTATTCCTAGGGGCTTTGCCCCTGGGGTCCTGGCATGGAATGGAGAAGACAAAGCCTGGTTTACCCTATAAATCGTGGGAGATTTTTATGGACAGGAGTCCTTAGTGAATGCGTGGAAAAGAAAATTGTTTCCCCATAATCTTCCAGCTCCCCTCCCTTTCATTATGGCCCATATCCCCTGACAAGCGGCAGGGGTCCATGTGCCAGTTTGAATTAACATTTTATTGTGTGTACAGTAGACATTTATCCCCATTTGGGCTACCTGGTATCTGAATCCTTTTCCTGAATTTGGGGGCATTCGTCATTGTGTGAAGCTGGGTGGATAAAAGTGTCATTTCTTTTAACTTCCCAAGCAGAAATGCCCACTTTTGTGTTTTTCTTGATGTCTGCCAGCAAGTAGGCACACTCATGGGACTTCAGGTTTGTCACATCTGGGACTGGGGCTCTGGCGAGATGACTTAGAGAGGCAATGGTTTGGAATTCTGCCCATCACTGGTGCGGGCAGGAGGACCATGGTGGCAGGTCCAGAGCCACCTGTGGTGACCAGCACCAACAGTGCAGTAGGTGAAACAGAGTTAGTTACTGGGAACAAAAGCAATACTAATGGAAACAGCCTTCCCATGAGTATAAGGAGCTGGACTAGTCTCCCTTGTTCTAATGGACATCCTCCTTACGTGGAATAATAACAGGACAATTTAATTTTATTTGTTATTGTTAATTTTTTTTAGAGACAGGGTCTTGCTCTGTTGCCCAGGCTGGAGTGCAGTGGCATGACTGCAGCTCACTGTAACCTCAAACTTCATAACAGGAAAATTAAAGAAAAATCAAAAGAAACCACTTAGCTGTAACACAAGGAAGATATGCTGACTTGTTTAATGGAAAGGAATATACTTTAATGGAAGAATACATATATCAGAATTTCAAACATCCCCCATGGATTTAGTAATGGAGCAACTCCATTTTTTGTTTTTGATAGAGAATTGTGTTTATAATTCTGTTTCTTACATGCACCATGTAATCAAAACTGTTGCCTGTGAATAATCACTCTTTTTCTGATTCCTACTTGGCTAGGCTGGTATGCCTGTTTTATTGCTTTTCCAGAACAGATAGACTCACATATTGTTTCACGTTATGTTTTGAGTTCTTAAGCATATTGTCTCTTCCTCCTGTGCGCTGATTCCCACTTTCGTGCACACAGCAGCTGTGTGACCATCTGCATCATCTCGACAGTGCCACAGCTTCCTCCGTAGAATGCTACGGTGTGTCGCCCGTGGAGGGATTCCTCATCCCAAGCATGATTTTTATGTGGGTAGGCTGCCCGCCTGTGAGGTGAAGTTTCTGGTGGCCCATTTCTTCATATTTCATGATAATTGGTCAGAGGCTTGCCTGGCAGTGGAACCATCACCCCAGGGACAGAGGTTGCCTGCTGTCCATCATCACTTATGCTCAGCCCTCAATAGAAAAGAAGTATGGTGTGAAGCAGCCGCCCAACCAGAGAGACTGGTGGAACAGCCTCCATTTGTATGTAGGTGAGCTACATGATTTGTCCTCACCAACACAATGTGAACAGTCCTGTAGGGCAAATCTGGGACAAGGCGTCGAAACCCCAGGCTCTATCGTCCTCTTTCCTGTGGTTAGATTCAGATGACTGGGAGGCCTGAGGGGATGGTGAGAGACAGGATCAAGTGAACCTGAGTCTAAATCATTGCGTTATGGATGGCTCCTCACTATTCCTATTCAGGAATCCACATGTTCCTGAACAGAAAATCTTTAATAGTCATATTTGCCGTCTTTCCCAGTAACAAACTCTATACAATGAAAGATGGAGCATAAATTATGCGAGCAAGAAAGAGAAATGAGGTTCTATTATGTTAACTCTTTATGTATTTTCAGATTTATTCATTGCAGAGGCTGACATTACCCTTGTACACCCTCATTCAGCCACATAAATCTCATTATTTCTTTTTATCAGGTATTAGCTGACATTTTTTCATTTTTCAGTTGCCCATTATGTGGAATCATCTTCTTGCACTGAGTAGTAGCATGGCTTATACAAGAGTATGATTATGGCCTACATACATTTCCCTACATATTGCCTAGTGTTGCTTACAGATAGGTCTAAGAGTTAGAGGAAAGCTTAGTGCCTCATTGTAAAAACAATTTGCCAGTTTTGTAAATCAGCTTTTTTTTTTTTTTTTGAGATGGAGTTTTGCTCTGTCACCCGGGTTGGAGTGAAGTGGCATGATCTCGGCTCACTGCAACCTCTGCTCCCTAGGTTCAAGTGATTCTCTTGCCTCAGCCTCCTGTGTAGCTGGGATTATCGGTGCCTGCCACCATGCCCAGATAATTTTTGTATTTTTAGTAGAGACAGGGTTTCACCATGTTTGCCAGGCTGGTCTCGAACTCCTGACCTCAGGTCATCTGCCTGCCTCAGCCTCCCAAATTGCTAGGATTACAGGCATGAGCCACCGCACCTGGCTGTAAATCAGAGTTCTGAGTGAGTTTTTAATCCTCTTGGATCACTACAAAGATTGCGGTAACTGAGAATGCAAGTTCAGTGACTAATTTTGCTTCATAAATGTATAGAAAATGGTTGATGGTCTTATTAGAAAACATTTCCCAGGCTTAATAGTTCTGTATAGATGATAGAGGTAGCCAATGAAGATGGAAAGAGGGAAACAATTATACAAAATCATCTTAGATTACAACAGAAGGAGAAAGTATTTGATACTCATTTAAAAGCAGCAAATGCGGTGGTTCGAGATATACATTTTGCTTTTGGCATGACATGTAAATGATTGCTTGGCAGAGATGAAGAATTAGGGATTTAATGTTTTTGCTTTTTAGTTTACTGTGTATTAACTAATAACATTTTCTTCTTCTACAATATGGAAATAGCAACTGTATACCTGTAAGGTTATTAATGGAGGTTTTATGCATGCTGATATATTTGAAATGTTTTTAGTTCTTTAGGAGAAAAGTGCTTAATAAACAGAAATAACTACTTATGTTAACAGTTTATTTCTGTTGACTTAATATACCTACTTTTTCCTCTTAATAATGCCAGAGCATATTTGGGGGGGGGCTATAGCTTGAACAAAAATAAGACATTATTAATATCAGCACTTTGTAACCTGAGACAGATGATTTAATCTCTCCTGCCATGTTCTCTGGGGTTTAAAGGTGCTATTCAGCAAGATTATTATGAACACCAAAAAAAGTCTGCATAAAATAGCTGCTTGGCTGTCACTTCCATATAAGCTATGAAGGCAATGATGACAATTAAGTCTAGGACTTGTAGGAACCACATATACTCACTCCTACTGCCTTTGTTCTTCTTCATGTCTGCTCTGCCATTGTACTTTTTTTTTTTTTTTTGAGACGGAGTCTTGCTTTGTCTCCCAGGCTGGAGTGCAGTGGCGGGATCTCGGCTCACTGCAAGCTCCACCTCCCGGGTTCATGCCATTCCATTGTACTTTTTAACACATTGGCATATACTCTGTGCTGACTACTCCAGTATGGAGTGCTTCTCAAACTTTTTGGTCTAAGACCCTTCTATACTCTTAAGAATTGTTCAGAGTTCTAAACAGCTTTTTAACATGCAGCTTATATCATAACTATTTGCTATATTAAAAAGTAAAATGGGAACATTTACAAATACTTATTTTAAATAACAGTGATAAACCCATTACATGTTAACGTAAGTAAGAATTTTTTAAATGAAGAATTACTGTATTTTTCCAAACAATATATGTTTGGTGAGAAGAATGGCACCATTTAATATTTTTGCAAATCTCTTAAAGTCTTGCTTAATAAAAGATACGTGAATTCCCTTATTTGCTTCTGCAGTTTATTGAGATATTGAACATGATGAAGGCTCTGGAAAACTCTTTCAGAGAGTGAGAATAATAAAAGGAAAATAATTTCTTAGTATCATTATGAAAATAATTTTGACCTTTCAGAACCCTGAACTTGTCTTGAGCACAAAATTTGAGAGTGATTGGTCTACGTTAAATCCCCGAAGGTTGTCTTTAGAGTATTTCCAGTTTTGCCACATTTACTACTTTGTACTAGAAAATCCCTTTCCCATCCAAAATATTAGTAAATAACTATTTCTATCTAGTTAATTCTTATTCAGAGAAATAACTAAGAGGCTAAATTATAATTGTTTAATTTTAGGCTGCAATTTTCCCATTTATTAATTGCATCTTCAGAATATGCTGGCATCTTAACCCATTTCCCCCATTCTCACAGCTGCTTTTAAGTCATTTTTCTCATTGATAAGCACTATTATGAGAGCCTCTAAATTGGTCTCTGTTCCAGTTGCTATTGCTGTGCAACAAACCACCGTGAAACTAAGTGCTTGAAACAGTAACAACCACAAATCTGCAGTTAGGGCAGGGTTTAGCAGAGAAAGCTCATCTCTGCCCCTTATGGCATCAGCTGGGGATATTTTGACTGCATGCCAGAGGATCCACTTTTGAGATGATTCACCTACATGCCTGGCAAGTTGATGCCAGCAGTTGGCTGGGAGCTAAGAACTAGGGATTTCCGTCATCACCATGTGGGCTCTCAATGGACTGCTTGGTCTTCCTCATAGCATGGTGGCTGAGTTACAAGAGTAAGTTTTCCAAGAGATAGAAGTAAAAGTTGTCACTTTCTTAAGGTCTGGACATGGGAACTGGTCTAGTGTCACTTCTGCTGGATTATAGTCAAGCAGCCACAAAGCCTAAGTTCAAGGAGTGGGAATACAGACTCCTACCTCTCAACTGGAGAAGTGTCAAAGAATTTGGGGACCATGTTTTAAAATTACCATACTCTCTCTGCCTCAGTCCTTCTCACCCGCAAATTGCCCAGTATTTGCATCTTGTCCTCAGATTCAATTTCCTAGAACATAGCTCTGTTTGTCCTGTAGCTCCCCATTTTCTACCTAAGAACAAAATTAGTCTTGCATTCAGAACAGTCCATTTATTAGTTTACCCTATTCCTTCTTTAGTATACCCTGCGTTTTAGCCCAAATTTATCTGGATTTTTCTTCTTTTGCCTTTGATTATACTTTTTTTCTCTCTTCCCAGAATATTATCCCTTTAATCTCTTCACATCCTAACATTCTGTCCTCATAATAAATGCTACCACTCACATGAAGACTTCCTTAAGCTCTCCATCCTTCTGTAGTATGTCTTTCTGTTACCTCTCATCATACAGTTTAACTGTACCATTTTAAAGACCTCCCAATTTCTGTCTTGTACAATAATATATGTATATTTTATATGCTCTACTAGATTTTATGTTCCTTGGAGGAGATCCATATTTTTAAATATAATATTAATCTTTAGTTGCTCTGATATCTTGAGATATATGTAACAAGTGCTTGATTTTTAAAAAAATGAGTGAATGAAGATATGAATGAAATTAACAGAGTATGTTTAGACTCACCTAAAAAGCTATTAGAAGTACTATGATTGTTGATTAAAATTGCTGGTTAGCCGCAAACTAAATAAGTAAAAATTGATGATTTAATTACCAAGCATAAATATTAGACAATATTATTAAAAAGAGATCACATCCAAAATAACAGTACAACCATACAAAAGTTTGGAATGACTTTCCTAGAAATGTATGGTAGGAACTAAGTAAGGAAAGCTACAAAACTGAATTGTAGGACATAAAATGAGTTTCATATTAGTGGAGAGAGATTCTTTGTTCTTGGAAAGCCAGATTCAGTGTAGTAATACAAAAATATCAGATTTGTTCATTTGAAGTGTACACTCAGTACAATTTCTATCAAAACTAGGGAACTTGACAAAATAATTCCAAAGTGCATCTGGAAGTATGAACCTATTAATACTCTCAGAATTACAAGAAATACTTATGAGGGGCACTTGGCATCTTAGATATTAAAGAATATTTTAAGTCAATGATGATTGAACAATGGTATTGATACAGGGATACATCAATGAGTAAAATATTAAAGAACCTTGTTTTACATACACATGTATGGTAATTTAGTATATGATAAGATTGGTGTTTCAGATTGGTAGGAAAAAGATTAATTACTCAATAAAAGGTATTGGGACACCTGCAAAGTCTTCTGGAAAAATAAAGCAGGGTCTCTACCACACTGCTAATATAGAAATAATTCTAGGGATCAAAATTATACATATAACAAGATAAACTGTAAATTTATGATAAAAATCTATGGATAAATATTTTTACAATTTATGTGTATGTGGGGAAGTCATCTCTAACTAGAAACCATGAAGGAAAGGATTTAAAAATGTGACTACATATACATATGTTTTACATCTTTATTTTTCAAAATGTCAGCAACCATCTCAACTTGTTTGAAGGACAGAGCATATACCGGGAAAACATTTACAAACAATATGATCAACAAAGGCTGATATTTCCAAAGTATAAAGAGCTTTTAAAATAAACTCTGACAACCTTATCAGCAAGATGAACATTTAATAAAGTTGTGGAGTTAAAATAATGAATATGGGGCCGTCAAACATATAAAAAGATGGTCAAATCTGTCAGCAATCAAAAGTGCAAATTAAACCAACAGTGGTATATTATTAGGTTGGTACAAAAGTAATTGTGGTTTTTTGCATCAAAAGTCATGGCAAAAACCGCAATTACTTTTGCACCAACCTATATTTCTCGGTAACTAAAATGACAAATAAAAACAAGCAAAAAGTTCATAATTGATGATGCTGTGGGCAAACAGTGTAGTTTTTTTTCAAACTGCACTGAAGGGCCATATTTTCCCAGTCTGTTTTTGACAGATATGATTGTAACATACAGTAAAAATAAGTAGCCAGAAATCAAAAATCACAGATATTCGGAATAAAA
Source organism: Homo sapiens (assembly GCF_000001405.40). Lineage (NCBI taxonomy): Eukaryota > Metazoa > Chordata > Mammalia > Primates > Hominidae > Homo > Homo sapiens. Next base: position 9,106,520 of record NC_000020.11, read on the forward strand.
TATCAAATATGACACACATGCACACACACACACACACACACAAAATGTTCATCAGACATAAAATTAACTCTCTCAAAGTGCGTTAAATATTTCTAAATGTTTACTCTCAATTTCTGGACCTATCTCAGTGGACCAGTCAGGAACATTTTGCAGTCTAGCACCATTCTATGGACCACTCTTAGAATAGCACTCCTTTAATGTGCCAATGGGAACATAAACTGGGTCAGACTTTGTGAAGGGAAGATTGGCAGTATGTATAAGATTTTAAATGTGCAAACCCTTCTATTTCTAGGAATTTGTTGTAAGGCAAATTGGATAGTTGTGTAAGATTATTTATCCTAACATCTTTGGTGATAGAGAAAAAGATGAAACCTAAATATCCTCCAGTAGGGTTATTGGTTAAATAGTTATGGTAGTCAGACTGTGGAATACTATGCGGTCATTAAATAATTAAGCAAATGTATATTCATTTTTCATTATAGAAAATTTCAAATATACACAAAAGTAGAATGAATGCCTAAACCATCTCCATATGACCATCACCCAGCTTCAACTGTTACCCAGTCATGGCCAATCTTGTCCCTGTCCCTTCGATTAGTTGTGTGTTTATTTGTGTGGGAAGATTATCTTGACCTTTTGTAAAGAAAAACCAGGTTATAGTGGAGCATTTATTTACTCGTTCAACAATTATGGATTATACTCTTATGTCTGTTGTGGTACTATTCTAGGAGCTGGGGCTTCAGAAGTGCATTAAAGAAGTAAAAATCTCAGCTTGCAGCTTAAATTCTAGTGGGGAAGATGGAACAACCAACAGTCAAAATTTTAGCATATTGTTACTGATTATCATTACAGAGAAAAGGGGGAATAGGGAGCAGAGGGTGTGTTGTCATTTTAGAAAAGATTAACAGGGAAGCCTACCCACCCCGGCCTGAGATGGTGGTCTTTGAGTCAAGGCCCTAAGTTGCTAAGGAAGGATTACATGTCATCTGTGGGGGGCGACCTCCTCAGGCTTTTGGGGGTGGGAGGTAGCAAATGCCAATGCCATAAGGCAGAGGTGAGCCTGCTGTTTCTGAAGAAGAGCAAGGAAGCCCCGGATTGAACATGAGGAGAGTGCTGGGAGATTGGGCAGGAGGGTGGCGTAGGGAGGAGGGTCTTATAGTCTTCTGTGTGGACTTCGACTCCTGCTGTAAATGGAATAGGGAGCCTTTGGAGAATTGGGACCCAAGAGTGCTGGGATGTTACTTTTGAGAAGACTCACGTTGGCTGCTGAGTTCAGAGTACACTGTGAGGGAGCACGTCCAGAAGAAGGAGAATCAGGAGGTTATGTTCCTGTGTAATCAAGGGAGATTGGGGGATATTGATTTTAACGAGGTTTGGAGGGATGGAGGTGGTTTGAAGAGGTGAGATTCTCGATCTCTTTTGAAGATAGAGTCAGTAGGATTTGATCATGGATTCCACGTAAGGTATGAGGAAGGAAGAGGTGGTGAAGGGGATTCCAAGGTTTTGTGCCTGGGCAATTGAAAAGATGGAAGTGCTATTTGCTAGAATGGGGAAGACTGCATTATGAGAGGTTTGAATGGAGAAGATCAGGAGTTGGTTTTGGATATGTAAAATCATGATTCCCATTAGGTGTCCAAAATGAAGACAGAACCAGGAGTTAGTTGGATATTAAGAGTCTGGAATTCAGATGGGACTAGGCTGAAGATGTGTAAATGTGGGAGTTGTGAGTCTGGATGAAGTCACTAGAAAAGTGAATGTGGACAAGAAGCAAAGACAAGACTCAGAGGACTGAGTCTAAGGGCACTTAGAGGGTGGGGAGATAGGGAAGAATCAGTGTTAGAGATCAGGGATAAAGTGAGCTAATGAAGTAGGAGGAAAACCAAGGGCATATGGCGTCTTAGAATCCACCTGCTGAGTGTTTCAAGGAGGGAGGATTAATCAGAGGGGCTGTCAAAGAAGATGAGGACTGAAATTTGACTGAACAGGAGGCTGGTGCAAAAGTTGGATCAGCACAACATGTCAGCTTGAATTCCTTGCTGAGGTATGAATTGTGAAGCATGGAAATGATGATGATGATAATACTAATTATTATTAAGAATTCAAAAGGAACAAGATCTTCTTTTTTTTTTTCAAGAATGCCAAATATATTCCCTACCATTAAAATTGGATATAGCAGCCAAAAAAGAAAGAAAAATGAATTAAAATTACTGAAAGACAATTTTACATGTCCTGTCAGATAGTTTAATTTAAATATAAGCTGGTTGATCCAGGTGCAGCTGCCCAAACTTGGAATAACATGGGGGAAAAGCCTAGTGAGAAAGCAAAGCCAATTGCAGGAGAGAGATACAGAGTGATGAGAGAGAGAGGAAGAGAGAAAACAAGAGAGAGAGAGAGAGAGAGAGAGAGAAAGAGAGAGAGGAGAAAGGGGTAGTTGAAGTAGGTTGCATAGGAAAAACCAGGTGCCTGGTAAACTTTATTGAGTCCCAGAAATGTAAGGTGCCCCCCACCAAAAAAAAGTGTTAGCTGCTCTTAACACTAACTTTAGCCTGAATAGACTTGAAAATGTATACATTTTTCATAGATGAATACTTTCCCTGATACTTAAACAATATAGCACGATCTTCAGAGCAGAGATGTGAATTTGTATCCCTGGGTCTAAAGTATTGAACATTTATAAAATGGTGTGGCTATAAGAGTACCAGAATTGTGCTGGAGTTTCAGTTTCTTCTTTAGGCAGTTGATTTGATTAAAACAAAAGAAAACAAAAATAAACAACCAACTCACACTTCTGGTCCTTTCTCTGGAAATTATGAATAAAAATATCAATAAAACTTTAAAATAGAATTTTAGCAGTCTCCCTATTTGAGAAGGAGAATCTCACAATTTTCACTGGTAGGCAATTCATGTGGGATTGTAATGCATGAGTGTGGGAAATAAATAAAATGATTGCTTTTTTTTTTTTCGTAATGGCCTAAAATGATAGCTTCTTGATTTAATAAACCTTTCCCCTACTCCCTACCACCACCCCTCTGCAACTTACCTACAATACACATATTCTAGTGCTTATCAAATTATAAAAGCTGGGCTCATGAAATAACAGGAGGATTTTTGTTTTCTGATATCAGTCAAAAATTGTTTGGAAGACAGGCAGAACAAGTTAAAGTGAAAGCCTAATATAGTGAAGGGAAAGATTTGTGTGCCAGCCACAGATGGACTAAGTTCGTTCTCACATAAATATTATCCTTTTTTTCTTGCCAGGACTGAACTGCAGTCATTGTCTTAATTAACTCAGGGAGTTTTCAGTTACAGCTTCAAAATCTCAGTCTTCTGGAAATTGTCATCTGGCTTTGTGTTGTCCCTAAGTAGCTGTGTGACCTGGAGGGAGGCACTTAACCAATTCAGGCCTCAGTATTGGGAGTCAAGGGTATGGAGGCCCAGTTTAGCTTTCTTCTAGCCCTGATGTTCTGTGAATCTGTTATTCAAGTTTATGGACAAGTTCCCACAGAGAAGGTTAGTAGAGTTTTTTAAAATTATTATTATTAAGCAATGGGTATTTTACTAAACAGTACTCAACTATTTTTTGCAAAGTGTTAATTTGTAGAACGTTTTGAAACTCCGCATAGAAAATGAATGCACAGGTCAAGGCTAACATAGCCTTTCAGCCATATTGTCTGGAATTGTTTTTTTTTTAAAACATATAATAAAAATTAAAGTTGAAGAAGAAATGCCAAAAATATATTTTTGATGGAAAATAACAACTTACACTGATTAGCATTTATTTCAATGAAATATGAATCTTTAAAACATAGGATTTAAACATCTTTCAATGGACATATACATTATTGTCTCAGATTCATAAAAATGTCTTGTAAGCTATCATTTCTCCTCTATTTACACTGTCTTTTGTGGGGGAAATAAAAAGACTAAACAGTGTTTAGATTATCTCTACACATTTTACATTTCTCCCAAAGGCTGCTGTGTAATGGTTGGCATCTGAGAGAATAAACAGGAAATTAGTGAGGCTGAGGTTCTCCTTCATCTTTTGCCAGGGCTGGACTCCTTGCTTCATTTATTTTCATAGGACACCAGAAATCTGAGAACAGTATTTAAGCTGACTACGTTTCTTTTATAGCTGGCCTTTTATAGATGGTCTACATGTGGCAATCTACAGATTGCCAGATCTTTCTCCTTTTCTCCAACTTAGTGTGTTGGCATTTGAAGTACCAAATGTCCTCTTCACCAATGAATAGTTTAGAGGAAGATGAACAGTGTAGCCCTTTAGGCATCGTAAAATACTGTATTTTTTTTCATAATCATGAAGGTAATATGTTTGTTATAGAAAATTTGGAAAATTAATATAATCCAAAATCCTACAACCCACAAATCACCACTTTTGATATTGTACTGTTGTTCTTTTTGGTCTTTCATCAATTTTTTTGACTACTTGTATTCATTAAGCAGGTATTCAATTTATTATTCAAACTGTTTCCAAGGTGAGCTGCTAAGAATGTTAATAGGTGTTCTGGGTCACTGGGGACATTGGGAAACTTTCCATGTCATATACGTTTGGGAAAATGCCAGATTGAACGATGTTAGACTTAGATTTGTCACAGACACCCCCCTCAGGGATGAGCTTCCTGAAAGGGCTCTATGACTCTTCTCTACTTGGGAAGGTACATTGGGCAAAGCCTGGAAGTTATTGGACAGAGAACTGGCTTTGGCCCTGCACCCACTAATGTTGTAATGTGGTGTTCTTCAGATGGCAGTGTGGATCTTATTTGGTTTTTGTTTGTTTTACGAAATTGAGATCTCATGCTTTTGTAACCTCCTTTTCCTACTTAATATATTATGAATGTTTTCTACTTTAAATCTGTTTTTCAAAGAGTTGCTTTCTCTCATTGTTATTTTTGAAAATATTCCATTTATGAAAGTTCCATTTATGAAGCTGGGGCCTAGCCCAGGTGACAGATCATTTCAGTCTGTGGGGATACTCTTGAAAGGTTCTGTCTGGGTTATAAAATGTTTATACTCATTTGAAATGTTTCCATCTTCCACCCACCCATTCTGACAAACCTTTAATTTTGGACAACTGCTGTTGAGGCTGTGGATTCACAGTTCCCAAAGCCACTGCTAATTTGTTTGCTTTGGAAAGACCTGACAAAAATAGACTTCTTTTAACACAAATGGATAATTTTCTCCCATTGATGGGCAGTTCATTTAAGAATATTTTATTTATTGTATTATAAAAATAGCCTCTTTGAGACGAATGGCCTGCTCCAAGTAACTCTCATAAAACATAGGGATTTTCTTCCATACAGAAATAATTACTTTGATTTAAAATGGGATATTGCCTTCTCAAAGTATTTTTTCCACTATGAAGTATATAGAAGTATGTATTTAATGTGTCTTAAAGTCCACTAGTGGAAGTATTACTATCACCTTTTTTCAAGGCTCATTACCTAAAATTTTTCTAAAATTAAAAGCAAAGACAAATATGCCTTACATTTAGACCAAATTAAAAAAATGGATCTTTATTTTGGATAGTCCCTTTACCTGTGCTTTACTTTCATTATCACAAAAATATCCTTAACTCTTAGCATTTCATAACAACTGTGACCAATTTTTATTATGTAGTTGGAAGTGTTAAGAATCTGAAGAGAAGGCCTTTTACAGTGATTATCTTTGTGAACAGTGTTTAGATACGTTTTGGAGACCTGTTGAAACAAATACCCTACTCTTTTTTTTTTTTTTTTTGAGATAGAGTCTTGCTCTGTTGCCCAGGCCGCAGTACAGTGGATGATCTCAGCTCACTGCAACCTCTGCCTCCTGGGTTCAAGTGGTTCTCCTGCCTCAGCCTCCCAAGTAGCTGGGATTACAGGCACGGGCCACCATGCCTGGCTAATTTTTGTATTTTTGTAGAGATGGGGTTTCACCATGTTGGCCAGGCAGGTCTCAAACTCCTGACCTCAAGTGATCTGCCCACTTCGACCTCCCAAAGTGCTGGGATTACAGGTATGAGCCACTGTGCCTGGCCCAAATACCCTACTCTTTATTGATTGTCTCACACTGATTGATAATGGTCAGTTCCTCAGGCATACCATATGTCTTTAAAATATTATAAAAAACTTTGTAAAGTCTTTTGTTTTATAAACAGCTTATCTGGGCTAGGCCTGGAGCATATTCATAGACTGTCCCTTTATGCAATTCCTGGGCAAGTGCATGGCTTTGAAAAAGACTGGAGCTGAAAAGCATAATGTGTACTTTTGGCCTGGGGATTCTTTATAGAGAGTATGCAGATTTCCCCAAGGAAAACTGATTTTGCATGCAAAAGCTGTCTCTATAATTATAACAATTTCCTCTTGCCCTTTTTAAAAAAAAATTCAGCTTCTCAAATTGGTACGTATAAAATTTTACCCTTTCCACAAAAGCAGGCCTTGCTGAAGGAACTGACTGCTGAAAAATCTCATGCCAAGTCCCTAAAGCAGCTAAAGGGAGACATTATAAGTTTTGAAATGCAGCAGTCTAGGAGGTGAAGGAATGGCGGTCCTGTGAGCCTTGACATCAATTTATGTGAGTGTGTGTGCAAGGTGCCATCCCACAGCTTATACTTAGAAGAAAAATGGACTCTTTAAAGTAAAGCTTGTTAATTGAGTTTTTCTTTTTCTGAGGGTTGTGCTTACATGGTTTAAATTGTAATAAAAATTAAAATGCTTGAAATGTTTTAGAGTCGGAGCCCTTTGCTGCTTTAGCTCATGGGCACCTCCAAGAATGCTTCCTCAGATAGCAGCACAAAACACTGGCAGTTCTCCAAGAGAACATTCTTTGAGAACCTCACTGTGATTGGGAAAGGGAACTTCACATTCTGATTGTGCAGAAGTGCCCGCGGGATGTGTAGTCTACATTCTAAGGTTGCTTGTTGTCTTCCATGGAAAGTGTTATTTTATTATATCTTTCAGATATGTTATAGGTGGGAAAATCCGAATAACTGCTTTTATCTTGGTCAGGAAATACAGGGAATTGGTGTACTGGGGAAGATCACATATTACGAGACACACTTTAATTACCTTTGTGGAGTATTACTTTTCTAATAACCAAACTTGTTAAAATGCTAAATTTTATTTGTGTTTTAATAACCCAGATTGCTAAATTGCTAAATAATCTAATATACTAAATTGCTAAAATAATGCCAAACATAATTAAACTTTCATTTGGTTCTGAACAATTTTCAGTGTCCCCAAGTCATTATCAATATTGCATTAATGTAGAAATCTAGTCATTTGGCGTCCCTATTAATAGAATGCCAAACAAATTGAGTCAGACATATATACCTAGTGTTGTGTTGCATGCAGCAGGGTAGAAAGGGAGTGCCTAATCAAGCTCACAATGTGATTTTTGCTCAAGTTGTGATGTCTGGCCAGGCGCAGTGGCTCACGCCTGTAATCCCAGCACTTTGGGAGGCTGAGGGGGGCGGATCACTTGAGATCAGAAGTTTGAGACCAACCTGGCCAACATGGTGAAACCCTGTCTCTATTAAAAATACAAAAATTAGCTGGGTGTGGTGGTGCACGCCTGTAATCCCAGCTACTCGGGAGGCTGATGCAGGAGAATTGCTTGAACCCGGGAGGCAGAGGTTGTAGTGAGCTGAGATCATGCCATTGCATTCTAGCCTGGGGAACAGAGAGAGACTTTGTCTTAAAAACCTAGAGGGACTTACTCCTGTTGGAGGCACACATTTCTAACGAGATAATTTGGGATTGACATAGGACTGTGCTTAATAAGGTGTTCAGAGGGGTGGTGCTGATGCTAGGAACGGAGAAGACAAAGTAAGATGATGGCAATGTTGAGTTAAGCTGGGCAGTGACCTGATTTGTTTATCATTTGGAGGAGAAGTCAGAAAAAAAAAGAAACAGCCTAGGTAGAGGATTAGAGATGAGTATGAATATTGAGTGTGTCAGGGAGGGTAATGATAGTCTGAGCTCACTGCATTAAGATGAAGTGTTAAACACTAATAATGTTGAAGCTTATTCCAAACCCCTAGCTTTTCCCCTTTTTCCTTCTAATTACTACTCAGCAAGGTAATGAGTGATGGCTCAAATGTGGGATTAATCAGGGGAGGAAGACTATCAAGTTCTGTTCTGTTTGTGCATCCAGGGGAGAAGCTGCTTAGAGCAGTAGCCAGTTGTTGTCAGCACTCTTCCCCCAACCCCAAATTAAAGGCAGCTTTCTGGAATCATATTATGGCACCTGGGGAGGATTAACATGGCTTCCTAAGATGCCTGAGTAACGACATTTCTTCCTGTCAAAGCACACTGCTGTAAAAGAACACACTTCCTGATGATGGCCTTGACCGACCTCACGTTTAAGGGCCTGTGCACAGTTCTGTTACCTGGAGTAGGTGATCTGTGACACCGGCCTTTGGTTGCTGTGTTTGGCCATGAATCCACCCTGATGACTATGAACTTCACAGAGTAATTGGCCAGGATATCCCTTCCCTTACTGTCATACTTGCTGAGGTGTTAGTTCTGCAAATAGTATCCTTTGTGGATCTTTGTGTTTGTTTGAGTAGGTGAAGGACTTTATTTTATATTCTTTTTCTCTAGTTACTTCCTTATTTTAATAAGTAAACCTTATTCTAAGGGTTAGTTTCTATGCTGAGAACAGTGGGTCTCTAGACTACTTAAAATTTTCCATAAATCTTACGTTATTCATTTTGTAAATCCTGAATAAATTGAAACGAGAACAGTGCTGATGGTCCTCATAGAAACTGAGGTGGAATGTGTACACATTTTAAAATTTATTTAAATGAGGTGCTTCTAGGTATAACACATATATAACCCTCCCTATATATTATTTAATAATAAAAATACCTCTACACTATAGTGCTTTATGAATAGATTTTTAAAACTTCTTCTTCTTTTTTTTTAATACTTTAAGTTTTAGGGTACATGTGCACAATGTGCAGGTTTGTTACATATGTATACATGTGCCATGTTGTTGTGCTGCACCCATTAACTCGTCATTTAACATTAGGTATATCTCCTAATGCTATCCCTCCCCCCTCCCCCCACCCCACAACAGGCCCTGGTGTGTGATGTTCCCCTTCCTGTGTCCGTGTGTTCTCATTGTTCAATTCCCTCCTATGAGTGAGAACATGCGGTAAAACTTCTTATAGTATAATTGAAATGTAAATTTAGTGTAATTAATATGAATTTATTCATTTAATTTGGATTATTGATGGGCTTGATTCTTCTTAATCCTAATGAATACTTGCAGGCCACAGGTAGTTGTTTAGCATTAGCAAAGTTTATCTTAAATTATTTCATATAATTATATTTTAAGTATGATTTTAGGCTCTAGATTTGGCCTTTTTCAAATTTGTAATATGCTTTATCAAACATTAAACACCATTTTAAAGTAATGTAACAGGAATTTGGGAAACAGAAAAACATACCTCTTTTATAATTTTAGTACTTTAACATAAGAGCCAATATCGTTTTTTGTACATTTTGAATCCTCCACATGGACCACACATATTTATAGCTAGAAATGTGAATATATATATATAATTTTGTATTATTCTTCACTTATAAAATTAGCATTTCTGATATTGTATCCGTGTGTGTGTGCGCGTGTGTGTGTGTGTGTATGGCTTCAAATCTTTTATGAAACAAAATTTAAAGTTATGAAAATATTAGTGCCCAGTTCAATTCCCCTCACTCCACTCCATTTCACATTCCCCAGAAGTAACTTTTCAGAATTCTATTTTTCTTTTCTGTTTATGTTTTTATACTCTTGTCTCATGTATGTGTCCCTTATATGTACGTATAAGATATATATGTGTGCACATATATATACATTGTGCATGTACATAGATACACACATGCAGAGTATTGTTGTGTATTCTAAAAATGTACATATCTGCAACCATTTTGTCTGCCCAGTTCTATTCCATTAGTTTTGCCTCACCTATCCTTATATCAGTATCACAGAGCTAAGACTAGGATGAGGCAAGCAAGGTGCGCTGGACATAGAATTGGTGCAGACATCTGCCCTTAGGCTGTAGGAGCCTCGGTTGCCTTCCCTAATCTCAGCCATGACAATAGCTTTATAGAAACTTTTGGTATGTGGTAGGTTGAAGTCTTGGCTATTTTTGGCCCCTTTACCCTTCAAATAAATTTTAAAAAACAGCTTGTCAAGTTCCATGAAAAAAAATCCCAGTGGAAATTTGACTTGAATATATGAAATTTATAGATTAAATGAGGGTGGGGAATGGACATCTTTAACATATCGAGTCTACCCACCTATGTATATGCTGGCTCTAACTATTGATTTAGGTCATTTTTAATGTCTCTCAAAAATTACTTTTTCTATAACATCCTGCATGTTTTTTATTCAACTTATTTCTGCATGCCTTAGAGTTTTTGTTGTTGTGAATGTGAATTTTTAAAACTGAATTTTCTAATTCATTGTGGTTGGTGTATACGAAAGCGTTGGTTTTTGAATGTCCCTGCTTTTTCTGCAGCCTTGCTTAACACTCCAATTTGTCCGAATTTGTCTACAGATTCATTTGGATTTCTTCTGTAGAGAATTCTATTATCTGTAGTTACTTGGTTTTCATACTTGTAACTTAATGACTATATAATACTTCATTCATCATTTACTTTGCTGTTGAACACATGGGAAGTTCCTGATAGCTTCTATTTTAAATACAATTATAGTGTACACCTTCATACATTTTTTCACCTTTCCAGTTATTTTATTGGGATTCAATTTTGTAATTTCTGTCAAAGGGTGTGAACATATTTTTACAGCTCAGGATATGTGTTGCCAAATTGCTTTGTAGAAAGCTTTAAATCCTTTTACACTGCCACCAGTAGCATGTGAGAGCATCAGTTCAACCACATTGATTTGAATGATGGAAATCGCACCTGGAATGCTGTGAGTCTTCTGACTGATTTCCTGTGTCCATTCCTATCCGTGCTTAATCAGTCCTCCACACAGCAGCCAGAATTATCTTCAAAAATTTAAATAAGATTGTGTGATTCCCCTGCTGAAAAATCCTCCAATGGCTTTCCTTTAGATGTAGAATTTAGCCTAAACTTCCAACCAAGATTCCTATATTCTGACCCTTTTCTTTCTTCTAACCTGCTCTGCTTTTGTTCTCCTGTGCCTCGGCTACACTGGCCTTCTTGCTGTTGCTGAAACTTGCTTACCTTATTCCTACCCCAGGGCCTTTGCATTGGCAGCTCCCCCTGCCTAGAACATTCTCCAGCTCATTATACTACTACCTCTACCTATCGTGCATTTTTCTTGCTCAGCTGTCACTTCCCTAGAACAGACTTCCGTGGCTTCCCTTTCTAAAATAACCCTTTTTGGTCACATTCTTTTCTCTTACTTTATTTTCTTTACATATTTTTTATTATCTGAAATTATATAAGCTTGCTTATTATTTATTTCTTTGTTTACCATTGGCTTCTTCAAGTAGAATATAAAGTCCTCAAAAAAAAAAGCTTTGTCTAAAGTGTTGACTATCATTATATATCAAATTTTCTAGTGGCATCCTACAAACATTAAAAGAAAAAGGTTACATGTGCACATTGTGCAGGTTAGTTACATATGTATACATGTGCCGTGCTGGTGCGCTGCACCCACTAACTCGTCATCTAGCATTAGGTATATCTCCCAATGCTATCCCTCCCCCCTCCCCCCACCCCACCACAGTCCCCAGAGTGTGATATTCCCCTTCCTGTGTCCATGTGTACCCTAAAACTTAAAGTATAATAATAAAAAAAAAACAACAAAGTGCTTATAAAATATGAGAACAGAGCAACGGTAAGTGCAATCTTCTATAAACAAAGAATTTAATAAAAGAGACGGAAATAAAAATAACTTTAAAAAGTTAAAAAAAAAGAAAAAGGACAAATTAATATTAACTTTTAAAGCATGACATATCTAAAATATTATTTTCATGCATAATCAATATAAAAATTATCAAGACATTTTACATTCTTTTTTTAATTAAGTCTTCAAGATCTGGTGTGTAATTTACACACAGCACATCTCAGTTTGAATGAGCCACATTTCAAGTGCTCAGTAGCCACATGTGATTGGTTCCTTCCATATGTGACAGTGGAGGGCTAGAACAGAACAATGCCTGAGACACAGGGAAAAATCATTAGAGACTCGCTGAATGGGTGAACAAGTGAATGAATGAATGAATTTTATTTAGCATGTGTAAGTAATGAAAATCCAAGTCAAATTAGGAGTAAAATCAAGATCCCATAAAAAGTGATTTATTGTTAGAGAAAAGTGAGGCATTAGCACATATCCTTTACTGGAACACTATTGTGGTATCTGAATGGGCTCAGTTAACTGTCACCTTTATTAAGGCTCTCATGTGCTCTGAGCATCTTGCTAGGATGAGAAAAATAAGATGAAATTCTTAAGATATCGGAAGTCTGGTGAGTTGATAAGAACTTGATGCCTAACTGTGTTGTACATTGTACGTGTTACTGAAACAGCTGTGGGCATCATGAATTAATTTTTCCCAGGCTTTTATTCATATTCAAAAGCTTAGACTAATAGTCACATTTTATTAAGTACATTTTATGGGCCCTTAGCATTTTGCTAAATGCTAAGGGAGCAAGTATTTGCCCTCACACTATTTTAATGTGTATTTCTCTAGGTTACATTCTTAACTTACCTGCACTATCCTCCAAGCATAATTCTTCAAATTTTCAGCTGTATTGAGATTCTAAATGGACTTCCAATGTGGACTTTTCTTCGTTTTCAGCTTATAATTGGCAAGTTCCCATAGGAAAAAATCATTATTGGTGCTATAAAAGTACTTCTTATCTGTCACATTTGGGAAATGAAAGTTTTGTAAAGGTCAAAAGAAAGTGTGCCCCCAATTATGATGAAGACTTGTACATCATCACAAATAGTTTAATAGCTTGGAACTTATCTTAGTCTCTCTTACAGTGTATAAAGAGAAAGGAGAAAAAAAAAAAAAACAAAGTAGTCACTCCATAGCAATTTTACCATACAGTTTTAGGAGAGATGAAAAGGATCCCATCGAAATCATTTGATCAACATCTATCTATATCTTCTTTGTGGTTTGGAACTGTTTAAGTTATATAAGCCTACAAGTTTATTAGTTCACCTTTATTAATTTGTCAAGGTTAATGACTGCATAATGAGTTGAAGATAATTAAAGATTTGTTGGCAACCATCTGCTAGTGTTTACGCAGTACGGTAAGTTTTATAACTCATCTTGTAATGTTTCCTAAGGAGATTCTTTGCCACCTTACTAATTTTAAAAACACAAACCACGCTGTTGCCTTAGGCAGTGTAAGAATTCTTTTCCTTAATCTTTTAGCATATGACAGCCTATTAGGAAGATCAGATGATACACCTCTAAGAAGCCGGGAGTGTGTTTGCAGACACTGTTGAGAGTGGAGTGATACCAGCCGGTCGGACACATGACCTGGCAGTTCCCCTTTCTTTCAGCAATCTGCTTTGGCAGCCAGTCTGCCTCGGGCATCTGTGCTAATTATTCTGCCCCAGCAGCAGAGCTGTGGGCACTGCTCTAAGAAGGATCCCTCCTTGCTCTCCTTATGTGAAGGCCCATCTGCGTTACGGAAGTGAACAAACTGACTGAGTGCAGTCTTCTCCTGAGTGCCTACTGTGTGCAGCCTCATTATTAATAGATAATGAAGATAGCCATGTCAGATTAAAAGGAGGGATTGGGAACAGTTCAAGGCCCTCTCTGAATGTCTTATTCAAATTCCCATTTCATCTGTTCTCCCTTGACACGCTCCTTTTCTCAAACTCCTGAACTCAAGTGATCCACCCACCTTGGCCTCCCAAAAGTGCTGGGATTACAGGAGTGAGCCACCGTACCCAGCCGACCTGCTCCTTTTCTAAACCTCTCTCTTCTTCCTTTCTCTCTCTTAGCAACATCTTGCCATCTCCCCTTCTCTCTCTTTATAGTGAGTAATTACTAGTTGCTCTGTATTCTAGTTCCAAAATCTCTCCCATGTTCATCCTCTTGGATCCATTGTCTGGGTCAATACTACTTCTCATCTGCAGAGTGTCATTTGCTTCCTAATGGGTTTCCCCATATGTTCCTGCACTCCCTTGACCCAAGCTCACCTCCACTCACCTTCTGGAAGCACCATTCTGATCCCAAGGTGCCCTGCTGCAGTCTTCCATGGGTTTCCACGGCCAGGTGAATAATGTCAAAATTCCTTAACTAGACCGTCAGGAGCCTCCTCCTCCATGCTATGAGGTCTCCACCTCACTCCCAGCCTTATCTGCCTTCCCTGAACTGAATGGTCCCTAAACAAAATGAGCTGCTCTCTTTTGGTGTTTCCACCTGCTCTTGAGGTCCCCACCTGAGCTGTCCTTTGCCCCACATGTGTTGTTGTGCCATCACAGCTCTCAGCCCCAGTGCCATCTCCCTGAAGCCCTCCTCACACTGGAACCTCACCACACCCCTCACCGGGATGATCTACCCGTCTTGACCATCTCCTGGCTCTTTAGATCTCTCTGGAAGGTCTCAAAGCTTTTCCCTTTGTTGGATTTTATCCACACACCATTGGAGGCCCTACCTGTCAATTTCCAGAAGGCAGTGCGCCATTGACCCACTTTTGTGGCCACCACAGTACCCAGAGAGCACTTGGAATTCACCTAACACCTGGATGAATGTTTCTTGAATTTCTTAGTCCCTGATATGGAATATTCCTTGCTCTCTATTTTTTTTAACTAGTTTTTTTGTTTAGTAACCATCACCCACAATGACCAGAATTTTCTCTCCTTGCTTCTGGCTTCTCCACAGGGCTCTGAACGCCGCTTACGTGTCGTCCCACCTGTTCTCTATTTTTGCCCTAATTTCTCACCATTTTCTGTTTCTTCTGAGTTGTCCATTCTCCACCCTTTAATTTCAATTAGTCAGTCGTAAATATTTGTCCCTATGGCAGGACCAGCTTTTGTCTGGTCTAAATGTAGGAAGTGGCTTGTTTATAATTTCCTAGCACAAGTAGGCCAGTTACTGAACACACCGATATAAAATGTACTACTAGAATATTCAGAAATCCTTTAGGGAGAATTGCTGGTTTTCCTGTGAAAGGGAAAGACAAGTCTTCAGTGGAAACAGCACTTTAATATCAAGTTTTGAATGAACTGTATTCATTTCATTCAAAACTCAGCTCTGACAAATATGGGTAAAGGACATCAGTTTCAGAAATGCAATGCAATGCTTGCAATTATGGAAATTATTTCATGTTTTCCAATTGCTTATATTAGGTTGATTATATTTAATGTTTATTCCTGACACCAAATTTATGTATTTTAGTTATAAAATTTGTGAATTATAGCTGCAAAATATTATAGTTTTCAAGTCGAATTATTACCAGCGGCATTCCTGTCAACTTTGCTTTCCTCAGGACTTTCAAATAGAAATGTTATTAAATATTTCCTTTTTGTCAGTGTTTGCACTTGAAGGTAAATTTAAACATGAGTGTGTTGTTTGGTTTCTCTCATTGTGGATGGACTAGCTAGTTTAATATTTAATGGCAAGTTTTGATGTATACTGATAAGAAGAGAGACAAAGAAACATTATTGTATTTAAATATTATCTTTCTGATTGTAAAAGTGGTGCTTGTCGTAGATAACTCTGTAAATTCAGGAAAACATAAAAATAAAGATCACTGTTGTTTTACCACACACAAAAATTACTATAACTATAACTCGATGTTATATACATTACCTATTATATACTGTATTTTAAAATAAAATTGGGATTATATTGGACATACAATCCTGTTTTTTTTTCTGTTAACATTATATTGTGATTACGTCCTACGTGATTTTGTTTTAAACATGGTTTTTAATGGTTGCATACCTTTAAAACAGGAAGAATTATAAGTTATCCCAGGAATCTTCTGTTACTGGATACTTAGGTGTTTTGTTTCATTGCTTTAAAATCATTTCTACTCCTCTTCACAATGTGGATACTTGGGAATTGTCACATCATAGTCAATTTCACAAGACAATATAGATTAACTAGCCATGCACTCTTAATGTACATATGCAGTATTTCAGACATTAGAAGTAGGGAGATCAGTTTTGCTTGATGCAGGCAGTTAAAAATCACGCGCATGTAAAGAAAGGACCAATTTTACTTGCCTCAGTGTTGGCCCAAGTTTGGAGACTAAAGCATTTACAGACCATTAGCTCTATACTTCACTCTTGAGACCACTTGTTGTAATGAGCTGTCAATTATTGTGCATCTAAGTGTAGTTAAAGGGACCATTGGGCTTGCAGTTTAAAAGCCAACATTTATAAATGTGTAGGAATTGAATTATAAATGCAGTGGTTCAGTAAGGATGTACTGCATCATGGACCTGTCTGGATACAGTATCTGTTCTCTGAAAGATTTTAGTGTTCATTAAAAACATAAGAAACAGTAAAAATGTACTCTTGAGCATATAGCTATACAATTTTTATGTTTTTACAATATAGTTTGGGAAAAATATTTTTTTAAATCAAGAGATTTTAAAAAGTAAAAAACATTTCTTTACTAAGGTATTTATTAAATATGCAATGAATTAATTTCAGCTGACATGTTGGAGTGAGGAGAAGGATGGAAATTGGAGATTTCCATTTGATTCAGTGAAGCTACAGTCTATTAAAAAAAGTATATTCTTCACTACCTGTTTATCATTAGTTTTTGAATAGTATTTGCCTTTGAAAATCTGTGTACTTTGAAAATATTTTACTGCAGCTTGTAAATATGGCCTGAGTAACATTTCACATTTTTTCATGGTTAAAGATGCCTTTTGCTTTGAATGTGCCAATTCTAAATATCACTCTTTTAAGAAACTCCTGGAAATCTCCTCTTTTTTTTTTTTTATATATATTTCAGCTATTTAATTTTATCATGTTCTTAAAGTCAATATTTTGTATGTGAAGAGTGCCCCTTAAAGTTTATTTCTTCTTTTTATTTTTTAACATGAAGTAATACCTGCTTGCTGGGATAAACAATATAGATGAGTAAAAAATATTTTGTTCAATTCCACCTTCTCTCTTCATTTTCTCATCTTCCCTAGAGGCAATTACCATGAACAATTTGGTGATTATTTCTTCAGATCTTTCACCCAAACTTTTACAAAGATAACATAGGTAGATAAGTAGGTAGATAGGTAGTTGTTGATCACAGATGTAAAATAGGTTTTCTTATATAAATGACTTCATTTCTTTCAAATGGTATACAAAACCTGTATAACACAGTTATTTACAGATCTATGTTGTATGTAGCTGTCACAAGCAGGAGTTGGCAGACTTTTTCTGTAAAAGGCCAGAAAGTATTTTGGGCTTTGTGGAGTATACCGTTTGTTGTGATTATTCAGTGTTGTAGCACAAAAGCAGCCACAGGCAATACCTAAGTGAGTGGGTGTGTGGGACTGGGTTCCAACACATCTGTATTTATGTATGCTGAATTTTGAATTTCATATAATTATGATGGGAGTTGAAATATTATTCTTCTTTTAATTTTTTTCAGCTATTTAAATATGTAAAAACCAATCTTAGCTCTTGGGCTTTTGCAAAAGCAGGTGACTGGCCTGATGTGGCCCATAGGCTATAGTTTGCCAACCTCTGGTCTAGAATATTAAAATAAAAATCATTTACAAAATTAAATCTCAACCGGGTGAGACAGCTCACACCTGTAATCCCAGAACTTCGGGAGACTGAAGTGGGAGGATTGCTTGAGCCCAGGAGTTCAAGACCAGCCTGGGCAAAAATAAAATAAAAAAATAAAAATTACCCAGGTGTGGTAGCACATGCCTGTAGTCCCAGCTAATTGGGAGGCTGAGATGGGATGGGAGGATCCCTTGAGCCTGGGAGTTCAGAGCTGCAGTGAGGTATGATGGTGCCAGTACGTTCCAGCCTGCGTGACAGAATAGGACCTGTCTCTAAAAAAGTAAAATCTTATATTTTGTAAGAGGTAAATATCACAGTGAGATTGGTGAATAAAGGCAAATAAAGAAAATACCTCTTTTATAGAATAGTGATTTAACACTTTACAGACTGTGAATGAGAGACTGTATTTAAGAAACAAGCAACAAGCAATGATAAGAGAAAAAAGGCAGAGAATTAGCTGATGTGAGGTTTCAAGTACTGGAGAGTCCAAGGGGGTCTTAGTGTTGTGACCAATTCACAAACTCCCTTGGCCATTCCCCAGGGAGAAATATTCCTGATCCCTTTTAACATTATGCTTTTATTTGCATGTATCATCTTTTTATATGAACTTTGTTTTGCAGTGTTAGTTGATAAGTCTCATCTTTGTAATTGACAATTGTTTTTATCTCCTGTATTGTATTTTAAAAAGTTTATTATGAAGTGTTTATATTACTTATAAGGAAATAAAATAGTTACATTGAAGATTGCCCAGGAAATACATTTCATTTTAAACCTTTTCAAATAGATGCATTGTAATGTTAAGCCTGGCCCCATTAATTTATTTCAAGGGATGTTCTCTGAATGCCTGAAATACGCTTGACTCCATCAATTCACCAGGCGTGTCTCTTGATGGCAATTCTGCTTTCAGACCAATGAGAACACCGTGATCCAGTTTAGCTGCCTTCTGAAGCAATTGCTAGTTTTAATATAATAAAAATAAAACAATAGGATGTGTATTGTTCTACCTGTGAAACTGTCATTTTTCCACTAAAATTACAAAATGCAACATACAATTCATAAAACTAAAAACTTATTTTTAATGAAATAAGAAGCAGTTTATTAAGGTATATTATACTCTCTGATTTTATGCTTGGTATGGAACTTAATGAATGTGTGTGGTAAGAAGTAAAAATGGATTAGTTGTGTGTTTTTTTTCAAACCACTTGTTCCACATTTTTAAATTTCATTTTCTTCACCTAAAGTAGAGAATAAAATAGTGTGTTATTTTTCCAATGTATAACTTGGCAATTTAGATATAACTCGTAATGAGGGATATTCCTACTAGACAATCAAATATAAGAATCTCTTTATATATGTATATGAATGCACACATGCATATATGAATAAGGGCTTATATCTTTTATTCTTCTTAGAGGTTCATGGCATAAAATTTAGAAACTAGAGACCAACATAAGGAGAAAATAAAAGGATGTGTATTTTTACCACCCAGCCATAGCCCTATTGATATTTGTGGGACTACCTTCCAGTGTCTCGTGTCTGTCTCTATATGCGTATACACATATAATTATAGTTCAGTCCTTTATTTCTCAGTTTATATTTGTTGCTTGTCTACTATGTGCCAGGCACAATGTGAGGCAATAGGGACATGACAGTGACCAGAACCATCCCCTCTTTCCCTGAAGTTTACTTTGTTGGGGGAGACAGGCATTAACCTAAGGTCACTATGTGTCTAGTAGTAATGAGCACTGTGAAGAAGATTAAGACCAGAAAAGGGGACAAATTTGTGTGTGTGTGTATGCATGTATGTGTGTGTGTGTAAAAGTAAAGACAGTAATGGGATTGTACTATCCATACTTTTTATAACTTGCATTTTTAAATAAAAACAATATTAATATTTTTATTTCACTAAATATACTTCTAAGCAAGTGTTATTTTGAATGCTATACTCTACTTTTCTATAAACGAATTAAGTTTATTTAACAAGTTGTCTAATATTGTAAACATTGTTTACTTTTAAAAATTGCTATTTTAAGTATTGCTGTAAGGAATGTCATTCACTGAAGACACGTGTTTTTACACATCCCTAGAATAAATTCCTAGTAGCAGAAGTACTGGGTCAAAGAATGATCATGTGAAGGCTCTTGATGTGTGTTTGATATGTTTTAAAATGTTATATGGCTCCTTCATGACTCAATTTGTTTTCCTTCCCCTAGTCCCCTTCACTCTTCCTTCCATATTTTAAGTTTTAAATCTAAGCAAAAGTAGATCGTATACTTCATATTTAAAGAACTCTTTAACATGTTACCATGATAACATATTACTTTGGTAGTGAATTTTGTGTTTTGTTTCTGAAGTCAGATTCTTATTGTGAGTGAGAGGGCTAATGCACTTATAATATAATTGCATCATTGCACAAGCTAACAAAGTCCTATTGTTGCTTACAAAGTTGGTATGGAATGAAGGAAAAAATACATTAAGCACAACAAACCAGCAGCAGCCTTGGAAATGCAAGAGATTCAGAGCAAGTTTTAACATGTCATTTCATTTGCTTTTTTTTTTTTTTTTTTTGAGGTCTGAAAAAAGTCTAAGAATACTGAACTGCATCACAAAGGAAGCATTCAGTCTTGAGAGAAAACCATTTTAGCTTGCCTTATGATAGATTTTTCTATTCCAGCAAAATAAAATAAAATGCCCTACTTTGCTGTCACTTTCCACTGGTTTTCTTTCAGTTGACATTACCTGTAATACTAACAGTCATAAGTCACATACTTACATAGCATATCCTCTGTGCCAGATACTGTATTTCCTCATTTTAAAGCTAGATGGGAATTACTTTCCACAAAAGAGAGTGGACGTTTTACCACCAAGGCACTAGAGGTTTAGTAGCTCTAACCCTTTTCAGAAATCATAGACAGAAGTAGAAGGGCGGTGTTAAAGCAATGCTCATTGAACTCTAAGGTGTGCACAAATCACCCGAGTATCTTGTTAAAATGCAGCTTCCCAGGCAGCAGGTCCGGGAGCCTGAGACTCTGCATTTCTAACAAACTCCTAGGGAAAGCCATTTCTCTTGGTTCAAGGAACACGCCTCACATAGGAGGCATGAGGTACTTCATACTGCTCATCCTGAAAGCCACCTCTGTGATAAAATAATAGATGATTAAAAATTTCTTATTTTTATTTTTATGTATCTTCCAAGTTTTCATCAGTGATCATATATTAGTCTTATAATGAGAAAAAAAGTGAATAAATTGATTTTTTAAGTAGAGTAGTCCCTTTCCCCAGATTTCTATGGATGGTTTTCCTTGGGCCTCTCTTTGAAGATCTTTGAGGTAGGTCTTTGAGTGGGTTGTTAGACACTTCAGGTGCCCTGCCCATACTACTCAACATTTAACTTTTAAAAAAAACGGTGGTAAAATTATCTATCTATCTATCTATCTATCTATCTATCTATCTATCTATCTATCCATCCATCCATCTATCTAAACGGAGTCTTGCTCTGTCACCCAGGCTGGAGTGCAGTAGCACAATCTTGGCTCACTGCAACTGCCATCTCCCAGGTTCAAGTGATTCTCCTGCCTCTGCCTCCTGAGTAGCTGGGATTACAGGTGCCTGCCACCACACCCGGCTACTTTTTGTATTTTTTTAGTAGAGACGGGGTTTTATCATGTTGGCCAGACTCGTCTTGAACTCCTGACCTCAAGTGATCTGCCCGCCTCGGCCTCCCAAAGTGCTGGGATTACAGACGTGAGACACCACGCCCGGCCCATATTTTTGATATGATATAGTTTGGATGTTTGTCCCCTCCAAATCTCATGTTGAAATGTAATCCCCATTGTTGGAGGTGGGGCCTGGTGGGAGATGTTTGGATCATGGGCACGGATCCCTCATGAATGGCTTAGCGCTATCCTCTTGGATGAGGGGTTCTTTCTCTAGTAGTTTACATGAGATCCGGTTGTTTAAAAGAGTGTGGTATGTCCCCTCTTCTCTCTCTCTCAGTCCCACTCTTTCCATGTGACACCACCTGCTCCCTCTTGATTGTAAACTTCCCGAGGCCCTTACCAGAAGCTTATGCTGGAGCCATGCTTGTACAACCTGCAGAACTATGAGCCAATTAAACCTTTCTTTATAAATTACCCAACTTCAGGCATTTCTTTGTAGAGATACCAAAATGGACTAACACACCATCTTAACCATTTTTTTAAATTAGTTTTTGAAATAGAATCTCACTCTGTCACCCAGGCTGGAGTGCAGTGGCGCAGTCTTGGCTCACTGCATCCTCTGCCTCCCAAGTTGCTGGAATTACAGGAGTGTACCTCCATGCCCAGCTAATTTTTGTATTTTTAGTAGAAACGGGGTTTCGCCTTATTGACCAGGCTGGTCTCCAACTCTTGACCTCAAGTGATCCACCCACTGCCTTGGCCTCCTAAAGTGCTGGGATTACAGGCATGAGCCACCGCACCCAGCCAGTCTTAACCATTTTTTAAGTGAACAGTTAAGTGACATTAAGTACATTCACAGAATTGCACAACCATCATTACTATTCATCTCCAGAACTTTTTCATTTGCAAAACTGAAACTCTATATCCATTGAACAGAAACCTCCATTCCTCCCTCCCCCAGCTCCTGGCAACCACCATTCTATTTTCTGTCTCTGCAAAATTGACTACTCTAGGTTCCCCATATAAGTGGAGTCATATAGTATTTATCCTGTTGTGTCTGGCTTATTTCACTTAGAATGATGTGCTCAAGGTTCATCCATATGGTAGTATGTGTCAGAATTTCCTTGTGTTTTAAGGCTGAATACTGTTCCATTATATGTGTATACCACATTTTGTTGATCCCTCATCCATCAATGGACACTTGGGTTGCTTCCACCTTTTGGCTATTGTGAATAATGCTGGTATGAACATGGATGTGCAAATCTCTCTTCACATCCCTGCTTTGGTACTTAGCATTTTTATGCCCAATTTCCAACTGCCTGCATCTGTGTCTTCTTACCTGAGGGTGTCTTCTGACCACCTGCCGTACTCACATATGGGCCGAAAAGTCAGTCCCCCTCCCACCAATTAGGATAGAAATTGGTGTATAACTATACCAGGTCCCTTGCTTCTGGGGTGGAATAACTGGAGAAGTGTATTCTTCACATTTCCCCGAGTTCCCCAGTGGGATCAGACCGCAGTTACCCTTGGTGGTAATCTGCTTGATATCACATTCTATACTGGCTTCCTTCCCTGGTTCACTTTTCCTCAGTCACCTTGTGTTTCCTGGAATATTTCCTCCCAAATAAACTTCTTGTTCTCAAATACTGACTTAAGGTATGCCTAAAGGAGAACACATCTAAGGGAGTTAAAAAGGTGCACTGTGAATATCTATTTACACCCAGGGATACTCTCTTTTTGGAGAGCAACAGTGAGATTTCAATATGTGTGGTGGATTCTTAGTTGGGGGTACATCTGCCTTCCCACCCCATTCAAGTGATGTTCCGAATAAAATTAAATCTGTTCATATGAGCATTTAAACCTTGTTGTAACATTTTATACACATGTTTTCAAAACTCTATTTTTGCTTCGTTTCTAACTCAACAACTTATTCTCCCAATTTAATTACCATACATGGAGCTGGATCCCGAAGAAAGAAGAAAAACAGCTCTACAAACAAATAGGTCTTTTGTTGGATAGGATAGTTGTTTTCTATATATAGATTCTTGTTTCTTCCTTTTGCTACCATGTTTAGCCTCTGGGGCTTCTCTTGGTTGTATCTAGTTTGTTGTTCTTGGCTCATTTTGGCATTCTCTGTGTATTGTATTTTTAATATTAAATTATGTATTTAGCAGCAAGCTTAGAAACAGATGAAGTTTCTTGTACTAGAGCTGCTACTCAAGATGAAAATGCAATGCAGCCGACAATGTAAGTCAGAGCTGTGCTTCAGTGTCTTTGGGGGTGTCTGGCTTCTAGGGAGGTGTGAAGTTCCATTGATCTTTGGGAGCTGTTAATGTAGGAGATTAGTTTAAGTATTTACACACCAACCTTATTTAAGGCAGCTACTGCAGAAACTCAGTAAACCATTTCAAAGGGAAAATGTGTGCCTTTCTAAAAACTGCAGCCAGCTTCCACACTCCCCACACCAAAAATAAATCTTTTAATTGTGTATGATGCAGTAGATGCATGCATACTTCAAAAGTCTGCCTAGATCTTCCTCTTCTGAATTTAAAAGATAAATTACTCTAATTGCTGTGTCGTCTAGCTGGTTTATAGTAAATGAATAACTTTCAACGTAGAAAGCAGTTACAGCTACAGAAAATAGACAGTAATGTCACTGCAAGTGTTTCCTCTTTAAAGTCATTGAAAGAGTATCATAGCAGATGTTTTCTGTTTTGGACTGTTTTCCCATGAAACCCATGGATGACGTTTGCACATGATAATTTATCTCCTTAAGTTAGGAACAAACTTATCTGATTTCATATACTGGAGGTTGGAAATCCTTTTTGTTAACTTAGCACAGTGGTAACTGGAAAAAATAAGCTTTTTAAAAAGTAGGATGAATTGAAGTTGTGATCAGATAAGCAAGAAGTAATATGAAGCCCAAGCAAAGCAAACTTAGTCATTGTTTCTCTGTGCCAACACAGACCATCATATTCATTATGTCCATCAAAATAGGGGAGGTCTAATTTAGACAGATAAAATGAAGTCCATTCTTCTTTGTGAAAGGAATCGGAGAGTTTCCTGGGAAAACAGCTCAGCCTCTCTAAGCCTCTTGCATGTCCATGGGCCTCATGGCCAGCATGTAACAGCATCATGTGAAGTTACATTGCATGCTTAGGGGTGGTACTAATAGCATAACTTGACTCTTTTTTTTTAATTCAAGGAGCAATAACTGACTTTCTACTCTGGGCCAGATCTGCTCTGTTCTGAAGATACCTGAGAATGATCAGTTCTTTCTGTTTAGCTAGTAATCTTTCGGTACATCTATTGCCCCATCAATTGATTTATCAACCAATTGACTAACTGATCGATCAATCTCTCTTCCCTCTTTCTCTCCCTTTTTCCTTCCTTCCCTCCTTCTTTCCTTCCTTCCTTGCTTCCTTCCTTCTTTTCCTCCCTCCTTCTGAAACAAAATATTAAGCTAAAGCTAGAGTCAGGCAGCTTCCTGAAAGTTGAGCTCTGAATCTTACCTTGGGTCCTCAGTAATAAGATATTATTGGATCTCTGTGACTGGTAATAACTTTACTTGTTGAAGGAATGAGATTGGCTCCTTTGAGTGCAGTTGGTGGTTAAGGGCATAGCCTCTGTATCAGAGTGCTTCTGTTTGGCCCAGGAAGGGACTAACGTGTATGGTGGTTGCAGTTTTAATTTGATATAGATTGATTCATATATGTAGTCACTGATTTTTAATAAATCTGTTGGTTCGTAGTTCAAAAAGTCTGGGCAAAAGAATCTGGTTTACAAGGAAATCCTGTTCCAACCATGGTAGACTGTTACATTTGGTGACCCTGCTGAACTCTGCCTCCTATCACTCATGCCCTTGTCTATTATATTCCTCATTGACTCTAGACTTGGCCATATAACTTCCTTTGGTTGATGGGACATTAGTAAAAATGATACAAGCAGAGGCTTGATAATCATTTGGGCTTGTTTTCTTGGAATGCTGCTTCTTGGAAGCCAACCTTGATGCTACATAAATGTTTGGACTAGACTATTAAGTGATTGGCCACATCGATAGAGACCCTGAATGATGAGAGGCCGTCTCGCATGTTCCAGCCCCAGTCAAACTCCCAACTGACTGCAGTCTATTGAGTGACCTCAGCTACACCATTTACAACAGAAGAACTGCCCAGCTGAGCACAGCCAACTTAATGAATTGTGAGGAATAATTTATTGTTGTTTTAAATTACTAAGTTTTACAGTAGTTAGTTACAAAGCAATAGATAACTAAAACCATGTCCTACTTTACATGGTCTGTGCAAAAGGACAAAGGGGACCTTGTGTATGTTGTGGCTCATAGAAGACTGCATTTCATAATGCTATAGTGCCATTAAGAGCATAGTCAGCAAGGGCATAATGTTTGTGTGTGTGTGTGTGTGTGTGTGGTTGTTAAATTGTGAGATCACTGCTTCTACCTTTGCAACTGAATGTCATGCAGTATTTTTATTTCCACATAGTTATACTTAAGGAAGCTACCTTTAAGAGTAATAGCTCTTTTATTCATTCAGGTTGTGAAAGACACTGAGAATTATGAAGAAAAGAGCAGTGACTCCAAGTCCTACAACCTAGAGTCCAACTTTAGGAAGTTTTCATATTGTAAAGATGGTTAACATAATGAAAAACTATACTTGATTCTTATTCATAAGCCTGGTGAATAAATTAGTAAATTAGATCCAGTTGAGAGTGCTGACACTCTTGATATCCTTATAAAAGTGCTTGTAAGCATGGACACAGATATGTGGATTCTTCTATTGGATTTATCGTTTGCGATGCCCACCACTGCATTTCATTCTCTACATTGCAATCAGATTGCTTTTTCTAAACGGCAAATTTCTGACTTATTTCTGCCTATACAATAGCTCCTCACTGCCTCTAGGGCAATGGTTCTCAACTAAGGGCAGTTTTGCTTCTAGGGGCATCTGACATTGGAGACATTATTGACTATACTTGGGCACTACTGTACTATATTGTAGTGACTAAAATAGAGATGCTACTATTTTCTAGTGAGTAGAAGCCAGGGATGCTGCTAACCATCCCACAATGCCCAGGACCACCCCCCGACAACAAGGAATTAACCAGCCCAAAATGTCAGTAGTGCCTCTGTTGAGAAACACTGCTGTAGGGTAAGGCCCTAACTCCTAGCTGATGCTTCCCTTTCTAATTTCATACCTCTGACCTTTGGCTCATACTTGTCATGTATGCTTCTTATGCAGCAGCAAACTACTTCCTATTTTGATATCTTCTTACCTTTAGGTCTTTGCTTATGTTGTTCTCATAGTCTGTGGGTTTTATCATTGTGCTTTGTGCATACTTCTGTTTTTCTGATCACACTGAGTTGCAATTACTTTTTTTTGTTGTTGTTGAGATGGTCTCTCGCTCTGTCACCCAGGCTGGAGTATAGTGGCATGATCTTGGCTCACTGCAGCCCCCGCCTCCTGGATTCAAGCAATTCTTTTGCCTCAGCCTCCCGAGTAGTTGGGACTACAGGTGCACACCACCATGCCCAACAAATTTTTGCATTTTTACTAGAGTGGGGTTTCACCTTGTTGGCCAGGTTGGTCTTGAACTGCTGACCTCTGGTGATCCATCTACCTTGGCCTCCCAAAGTGCTGGGATTACAGGTGTGAGCCACCACACCCAGTCTGCAATTACTTTTTAAAATCTGTTGTCCCTACAAGCTTGTGAGTTCAGGGTGAGCTAGCACCAGGCTACATGGCTAGGAAGTATTTGATGGAAAGAATGAATGTTTGCGTGAGACCACTACCGGAAAAGGGGCTGAAGCTGCATAAGTGGATAGCTGACCCACCCTCAGCGAGCTTTCCTCACATTGGGTGAATCATTCCCATGGAGGCACTGTGGACAGCAGCTCTCCCTGTGCACATGATTTTAATGCCACTTCACAGTGGTTCTTCCTCTGTCTTTTTGTGTTTTAAACCTTTAGGAGACATCAGTGTCAACTCCAGGTGGGCTTCACAATACTCCAGGTAGCTTTGAGAGACAACGTAAGACATGCAAAGAGTGTGAAGACAAAGCTTTGTGCCTCAAATGTCCTACTGTAAAGACCAGGGCAGGGGAGAATTTTTGAGAAATGAAGGACTGGTTCAAGGCACTGTCTTTTGCCCCAAGGCGGCATTAACATTAATTTAGCATAATATAGACCAGTTATTCTCAATCTTGCCTGCACATCAGTATCATCTGGGTTCCTCAAAAAATACCATTGTTGGTGTCCAGCCCCAAGAGCTATTGGTATAATTGGTCTTCCTGAGTTTCAGAATTTTTAAGTTTCCCACATGTTTCTGTTATGCATCCAACTTTGAGGACAACTGATATAGAAAGTAGATTATAGATCTTCAAGTTAACATTTCCACAGTAATTTACTATTTTCCTTCTTGGTAATGTACTGTTACTTAATAATTTTATAATTTTTAGCATAAGTAATAAATTAGTACTTCTAACTTCATTCAAATTTATAATTGCATTAATTTAATTAATATGTAACTTTTTGGTAAATGACATTGTATAACCCCATTTTTTTTAATATCCTTCTCCCTCTTGGCCCTGAAACTCAGAAGAAATATCATCAAGAAGCAGCTGACCCGTCTTCATGTTGGTGGAAGTTGGAAGGAAGCCATTTTTTAGATAGTGTGCCCAGAAAGACACAAAATTAGAACTTTCCTTTTGGTTCCTGTTCTGCCTCCCGTTTCCAATACCCACAGTTCTGTTTGCCTAAGAGAAAAAGTAGGAGCATCCCCCATGATCCCAGAAAGTCCTTCTCAGAGGCTAATTGTTACTTTTTATGTTTTTTATTTGATAACCAATGTTATACTTGTTATGAATGTGCTAGTTAGGAAGAAAAGTGAAAGAGCTGTCTAATTTATTCTACTCATCTTCCCTATTTGGTGGTTGGAATGAATTTTGGCATTATTTTAAATAGGAAAGCTAGAAATCGTAGTTTTATTCATTCCATGACACTGTATGTCAAGCACCAATTTTTTTTAAAGTTTATGAAAATTTGGGATCCAATGACTTTTGCCATTGAGTAGGTAAGCACTGCTGTAGAATGGCTCCTTTTGGCAGAAGATAATAGCTTTCAAGGCAAGAATTATAATCATTTAAGCTGTAGAATTTTAGATTACTATATTGTTTCATTTCAAGAGGGAATGTTAGGGTAGAAAGAAATGGTCAAAATGATATAGATAGTGCAACCCTCCCAACTTCTGCACAATGTGTGTGTATATATATTTATATACACACAAGGTTTTTATTTGTCAAGTATACCTCACTAGAGCCAAATATACAATTTAACTTTAACGATTATATAATTTTTATTTGTCAAGTATACCTTATTAACACTGAAAAAACAAACTAACCCCCAAACAAAGGCAAAAGAAACCAGAACAATTTGTACACCAAAAACAACTAAGGCTCAGAGTAATTATTGAATTCATCGGTTGATCATTTTTTATGGAATATCCTGGGTCTGCCTCTCTTGGAAGTGCTGTGTTGGGTGTGAGGAATGAGGTGGTGAAATGATTTGCCCATGGAGACATATGAAGTTACAGCAGAGCCAGAACTACAAAGCACGACTTTGTTTCTTGAGGGTATTAATTTATAAGAAATTTCCAGGCTTGATTTTTCTAATTTCCCCACCTTGATTTTTTATAGGTATATCCTATAATGGGTTAAGAGGGTTTCCAATAGATGTTTATGCAAGGTTTGTGAGTTTTAAAATGATTGGTTATATTTATGCTGTCAAACCTAGAAAATTTGATTAAAATAATATCTAATAGCCATTTGGTTAATAAGTTAAATCTTTACTTTCTAAAATTTCTTTTTTCTATTGTATAGAAAAGCACATTTTGCTTTTCCTGAATTACCTATGTCTAAGAAAATCCTCTGAAGAATGGAGTTGTGCGTAAGTCCTAGTACTGGGACACATAATTCATGTCCCTTTTACTGCTGTAAATTTTTAGCAAGCTTTTAGGTTGGACAAGAAACTTAGAGCTCCCCTTATCTAAGTTCATTTGACAGATGAGAAAATTGAGGCCTGGGGAGGTTGAATTATTTGATGAAGTTTACAGAGCTAGTCTGAAGCCAAGCTGGGGACTAGAAGTCAAAACTTTTTGACCCCAAGGTCGGTACATTTTTACTTTAGTGCAGAGTAAAAACTGTAGGCAGCATTTCTTATACACATAAATGCACACACACACACACCCCACACACAATATCCTCACACTCTAAAGTGAGTCTATTTTCAGAAGTGTGGGTTGTTAGTTATGCATTGTCTTAGGTTGGCTTCTCCCAAAGCTGGTTTGAGTCAAGGATTGGAGTGCAAGTAGCTCACTTGGGAGGTGGTCCTGGGAAGCACCCGTAGGGGAGTGGAGGAAGTGAGATAAGGAAGGAAAGTCAGCCAGTACAGTGTGTGCCGATAAGCAGATTCCACTGTGGGCAACTGAGGCTCCTCTGTGCTGGGGCCCTTTTGGAGACTGGGTAGAATATGCTTCCGAGTTGTCCCACAGGAAAGGCAGGCAAGGAGCTGGGCTATTTATTTACCAGCTCCTAGGTCACTGCTTGGGGGCTTTTCCTGGAAGCCTTACTCCTTGCACTTGTAGCTGAAAAGTCTACAAAAGAGGGTTTCAGTTCCTAGAGGAAGGCTTTTTAAGTGTGGTTGATAACTGAATCAGTGGGAATGTGGAGGGATTGGCAGATCACTGGCAACTTCTGTGTGCACTCAGAAAGAATTGCAAATGGGTGTAAGTGCATATTCTACACACAGTCGATTCCAATATGACAAACACCTTGTCTTTGCTCTTTCCTCTTTCCATCATATACTTACTGCTTTCATATGGGAAGGATAGAGCTGAGAAATAAATATTGAAACTGATACCATCAGTGTTGGATATTCTGTTTGCCCCTTGAGAGTCACTCTTCACTTTCTCCAGCCTACTCTCCTGAGGCTGGGCATTAATTGCAACATTGGTGAGCTTCCTTGCCCTCTGGCTTTAGAATGGGTTCAGGCAGTGGGAGCTTCTAGAGGAGACTGGAGGGAGGAGAACTGTGAGGTCAGTTGCTTAAGAGACTCCCGGGTCTCTTCTTGCCAACATGCTGTTGGTTGACTCTGTCCCCCTCCTAGAAGCCACAGTCGACCAGGAAGATCTCTTCTGTCGTTCTAATACTATTCTTGGTTTCTGTAGCTCTGTCCTCTTACTCCTTCAGGCCTAGGACACGTCATATTCCCTGCATGGTTTCCCTAATCCCTGCCCACACCTGGTAAATAACCTCTTATTAAACTCCCTTGTTGCCCCGTTTGAGTGTTCCATCTGTTTCCTGCTGGGACCCTGACCGAGGTAACATCTTTGAGGCATTTACTCTCTAGACAGAATCAGATGAAATGAAACAGCTAGAGATGTTATGAAGGTATAAGATAATGAGGCATAAATCGTACTCAAGCCCTAAGGATACTCAGCATGTAGGATCCATTAACAAAGAAGGGTTACTTACTAAAGAAGATGTTTTTTGGAGGGGTGCCTTAGGTTGTAATTGGTAATCTGTTTTTCTCCTGCTCTGTGGGAAGCTCTGTTTAGGTAGTGAATTGAAAATTGGATTCTGCCTTATTACCATGTATGCAGTTAATTATAATGTATTTAACTCTATAAAATGGAAAATTTGTAATTCAAAGAAATAGAAGGGTGAAATGGATCTATCCATCTGGAAATTTCAGAGATTTCTCTCATGTGTGCTAATTTTAGATAAGTAAGTATTTTCCCCTTAATTCCTTATGTTTCTCATCCCTTTAATGGGTTATAATTTATTTTTCTCAAGTTTTTTTTTTTTTTTTTAAGTTGGTGTGAAAGGCATTTCAAGCTGCTTAGAATAAGGGGCTAGCAACAGAAAACACCCATTCTGTATGTATTTACAGAGGGCCTCTTGTGATTCAGGCACTTTGCTTAAGTACCATTAACTCAATAATGAATGATATTTGATCATTGCTTTCAAGGAAATCACAATGTAGTTTGGAAAATAGAAGCCCAAACAAATACTTGTGACAAATATTTTTAAGTGTTATAAGTATGTAGAGAATTTTACGTGCATATAAATGAGGATTTATAAGTAAGTCTGTCAAGAAAAGGCAGAGAGGTTAGTGAATGACAGAAATGTTTCATAGAGCAAGTGACATTGAGTTGGGTCTTGAAGGATGATAATGAACGTATCAGGAAGATAAGAGGAGGAATGGCATGAAGGAAGGTGTGCATTTCCTGGTGGCTTGAAGATTCAGTGAGAAATATGATTTGGGAGAAATGTTGGTGGCCTTTGGAGAAATGCCTGGACTTCGGCCATAGGATAGAATGGTAATCTGATTCTTAATATGCATCATCACTTAAAATAATATAGACTAAAAATATTAGTTAAAATATACTCTAAAAATATTAGGGGAGTGTAAACAAAACAAAAATAATATCTTTGGGGATCTTTAGACATTTAGTGGGAAATATATTGCTAGATATCATATAGCACATGTTTTAAATACTGAAAAATGTATGATTTTAATTCAGGAGCATCTCAAAACAGGGAGAAGACCCACTGGTATCTTCTGTCACTACACAGCTTTGCTCAGATTTGTGTGCACTTATACTAAATTTGCCATTACACAATTACCTTCTATCACCATAGAATTACCTAAAATATGAAAATATGATGGGTTGCTTGGAAATATGGTGGATTGCCTTTTCTATTTCTAATGATTATATTAGCATCCATACTTCACAATCACCTGTTTAGCAGAACATATCTGGATACACCAACCATAAGAGATATTTGTGCCTTATTCCTTCTAATTATTCTAGTCCCTAAAGCTTAAGGGGTCAGCAGTCTTGATGTTATAAGGTGGGCTAATTGATGAAGACTGTCTTATCATTACAACAGTTATAGATGCAATGAATTTTTGAGTGCTGCTTACTAAGTAGGAAACTGATAAACAAGAATTCCACTCCAGAGGCATGAGCAAAATGGTAACTATAGTACATGGGTATTATAGTCAAAGCCTTTGTAAATGGAAACCCCTTAAAATGGTCATGTTAAAGGTCATTATATTGTCTAGAAACTTGAGGTCTCATGAAGTACAGGGAGAGGAACAAAGTCCAGTCAGGTATCATGGAACTATTAATAGAATGCCAACGTCCAGAATTAAGCTTATACTCCCTGTCATGCAGAGAATGTCTTCTTGTCTATCTGTTTTATTCTTTCCTTATCTTGTTTGCTAACCATGTTCTATCTATATTCTGTTTTAGTTATCTCTTGCTTTTTAACAAACCACTCCAAAACTTACTGGCTTAAAACAACCACCACCATTTAGTGCCTTTCATGAGTCTGGGTGGTAACTGGGCTCAGCTGGGCAGTTCTTCTGTTTCATGTGGTGTTGGCTGGGGCTCAAATTCTCTGGGGGTTCATATGAGCTGGAATGCTCAAGAGGACTCACTCACATGGTTAGTAGTTGATGTGTTTATTGGATGGGAGTTCAGCTAGGATGCCAGCTGGAACATCTCAGTTCTGTTCCATGTAGTTTCTTTCCATGTGGCTTGGGCTTCTCACAGTGAGGGAGCTGGCTTCCAAGAGGGAGCTTATAGATGTGCAAAAGTGGAAGTTGCCAGTTCCCTTAAGTCAAGGGCTCAGAAGTCCTGGGTGACCACTCCCAGTGCATTCTGTCAAAGCAGTCACAGGGCCAGCTTCCAGGAGAGAGGAAATAGACTTGACTTCCCAGCAGGAGGAGTGACAAACCATTTAAAACCACATTTTTTTTTTGCAGAAGGCCCAACATGTTCCACGTGTCACCAGCCACCACTATTCACGGAAACTTTCATAAGTGTTCGTCATGAATTGCCTATAGCCTCTGTGTCTCTTAGTTCAAATGCTCCCAAGGGACATTCATATTGGTTGCTGACCATCCAGTCACCTGTGGTTGACAGGGCCAAGTCTTGTGCTATTAAAGATTTTCTTTGAAGGGGCTGAGGTGGGATTAGTGCTCTGAAGATTATTTGAGAGAATGCTCTGTGCCTGGCCGTTCCTCTGAGGCTTGAGATAACTTTTCTTTCCATGGTCCAGAGAGCTCTGCCTGACACTTGCCTTCTAACTTTTTCTGGAGTAATTCTCTCCCTCATTTTTCAGCTTTGCTTTTTTGTTTTAAGTTTGTCTAATATGCGTCTTTCCTTTCTGCTCTGTGTCCCTGAGACAAGAAGGCTGTCTCCTCTCTCCCGGTCCCTATCTGTCAGCTAACTTCTAACCTGCTCTTCAGATCTCAGCTCAAATATCACTTCCTGAGGGGAGCATGGAACACCCTGGATTAAGCCACATCCCCTGTCCGTCTCCTTTTCCCTCATCTTGCTATCACACTTTGTAACCTTATACCAGTGTGGCTACTTGATTATGATCTGCCTCCCACTGAAGGCTCTAGAAGGCAGAGGAATGTGTCTGTCTTCCTCAGGGCTGCAGTGGCCATGCATTGCTCCTGTTAGGTACTGATAAGTGCTTGCTATTTGCATGATTTAAAAATTGGAAGTTGAGATGGTTTGGTCATTTGTCCCTTCCAAATCTCAAGTTGAAATATGATCCCGAATGTTGGAGGGGGGGCCTGGTGGGAGGTATTTGGGTCATGGGAGCAGATCGCTCATGACTGTCTCGGTGCCCTCCCCGTAGTAATGAGTGAGTTCTTGTTCTATTAATTCACGTGAGAGCTGGTGGTTTAAAAGAGCCTGGCATCTCTCTTGCTCCCTCTCTTCCCATGTGATATGCCTGCTCCCCCTTCGCCTTCCACCATGAGTAAAAGCTTCCTGAGACCTCACCAGAAGCTGGTGCCATGTTTATACAGCCTGCGGAACCGTGAACTAAGTAAACCATCTTTCTTTATAAATTACTCTGTCTCAGGTTTTCCTTTATAGCAATGCAAAATGGACTAACACAGAGGTAGTTGCCCTGAAGAAGAAAGGACCAAGGGGAGAGAATATTTATCTTGATGAAAGAAGTTAAGACTAGCCTCGTTTCAGGGAATATAAGGACATAGTTTATTGGGGACTGCCGCTCATCCCCATTGGTGATACCATGTGAATCAGTGAAGTCCTATTGTTAAGGGTAGAGGCTGCATGTTAGTTTGAAATGTAGCAAGAGTTCCTGCCCAGAGATGGTCCATAAGTGCCTGATTAAAAGCCAACTTTTTCTTTTCTTTATGCTTCTACCACCATGGGGCCCTAAATCTGTACTCAGAGATCTCAGTGATGGCTGAACTTTGTGACCATTGGGCCAGAACTACTCATTCCATTCCTATTTGTTCTCCCATGAAGCCAGTATCTTGTTTGGCTGCAAGCCAAAAAGATTGGTTAGATTACAGCTTGGGATATGACGGATGCACCTCTGAGCATAATCTCCATGAGATAACCCTAACCAAAACTTTTTGTCCAGTTCTTCTGTGGCATGCTATTTATCTAAAAAGAAAGTTAGTAAGTTAGTAAAAGAATCAAAATGCCAGATGGGAAACATAAAGATGGAGAAGGAAATAACTGAGATTTTGTTTTATTTAAAGATTCTACACTCTTTGCATGCTAGGATTTTTCAATCCCCACTTTTAGATTGAGATAAAGATGGGGGCAATCTTGTTTAAGTTCACTTAATTTCCCTGAAATAATTTAATGCTGTAAATATGTACTGAACACTCCATATGTATCTCCGTGGAGGGTGTAAAGACACATACAAGTTGGTATATAATCTTGAAATTTATACCTACCCAGGAATTATGGCATGCGTATATGACATGAGGTCCCAGTGCAACAATCAGATAAGAAGGGAATAATAGGAATTAAATGGGGGATGGAGTAGTCAGGAGTGTTTTTATAGAAAGGCTAGACATTGAGCTGAATCTCCATGGATGAGTAGATTTAGGAAAAGTTGCCTAGAAAGTAGAGGGAGAGGGCATTCTAGGCTGTGAAAGCCCCATGTCTGAAAGTTAAAGTGTGAGAAGGAGCAGGAATGCCCTTTCACACACCAAAGGCAGTGAAGGTATACAGGGTAGGGGTGGGAGGTTAGGGAGTGGAGGGCTATGGCAAGCCACTGAGTGAGATCCTTGGAGGCCAGGTGCAGAGGTGGAATGCTTGCAAGCAGAGGAAGTCATATCATAAAACCTGTGATTTGGAACATTATTTCCTTTGCAGTTGGTGAGGTAGTTTTGATGAGGAAGAGGCTGGAGCCAGAGACACCTCCTGGGAGATGTTGTGGTCAGCACCACAAGGGTGGTGATAGAAATTAAGAGAGAGGGAAGTGCACAAAATGGGTTCAGAGGAAGAATGGGTGGATTTTCATGTCTGGATTCATAGTGAGGAATACAAAGAAGGAAGAAATAAAGGGATCTTGAATCTGGGAAAATTATTTCCATGATCACCAGTACAAAGATTGGAAATGGATGGTCACGCCAAGGTTGTGTGGACCAGAGGAATGGAATAGCTTATAAGCAATGTTAAATAACTGTGGGTTGGTTGAAAGATAAAGGCTGGAGGTGCAAATGAGTGCATCATTAGATGCTGTTGGATTAAATAAATCCAATGAACACAAACTTGGGAGTTTTACTAGGCATTTTAAGCAGGGAAGTGAAAAAAGAATGTCCCATATCTTCAGATACTGACATCTAATTCAACAGTAAATTATGTTGTTCTACATTCACAACATATCCCAAATTTAAGCAGTTTGTATTGCTGGTATCACTACCTTCTGGTCCAGTCATCACCCTTCTTCACCTGGATTCTGCAGTAGCCTTGGAGCTTGTCTGTTCCTGCTTGAGCCCTTGCCCATCTGCAGTCTGTTCTCAACACAGCAGCCCAAATGATGCTCTGAAATAGATATCAGATCACGTTGCCCTGCTCCTAGTCTAAATGGTTTCCCACCTCATTCAGAGAGTAAGCCAAAGCACTCACAAGGGCCCCAAGGGCCTGGCACGATCCCTTCCTCTTAATCTCTGACTTCATCTGTTACTACCTTCTCCTTTGTTCACTCCATGTTGGCTTACCTTGCCAACTGCTTTTCCTTACACACACTGGGCATGGCTGCCCCAGGGCCTTTGCACGTTCTCCCTCTGCCTGGAAACTTCTTTACAATATCTGCAGGACTTGTTCCTCACCTCCTTCAAATCTTTGCCAATTGGGGCCTTTCTTTTAGTGTTGCCATCCCTGTGACTTGTACCTGTCCCTTTCCTTACTTTAGTCTTTTTCCTCCATAACCTTTAGTGTCTTCTAATATCTAGACCATTGGCTGACTCGTTTGTTGTCCATCTCCCTCTTTAAAATTGAAGTTCCATGACAGCAGAGATTTCTGTCTGTATCATGCATGGACATCTTCAATGCCTAGAACAGTGCAGGTACTTAGTAGTAAACATTTGTTGAGTGAATGAAACAAATGCTGTTAGAAACTTCTTTTTGAGTGGAATTTTGATTTCCTTGAGATCAGCTGTCAATAATTTCTATCTTTATATTCAGGCATAGTCAGTGCTCAGTAAATGTTGAATAAGCAAATAGAACCTGAAATATAAAATCCTAACATTTCACATTAGCTAGTTCCAGAAAGTTTCAGTACTAAATGTAACATTTAAAAAACGGTGGAGGGGAGGGATGGTGGAAGGATAGTTTTGGTGCATTTAGCTTAGCCTCCACTTTCGACTTCAGAATTCACATTGCAGTTTGGCAATTCTTTCATTATTACTATGATTATTAATTGGATGCTATTTAAAAATTTGGCTTTTAAACTCTCAGCTGATGTTTTAGGAGATTATACTATACAGGGTACAGAAATTGCTGGGGCTGACTGTAACTATTCATGGCCAATTAAGGAACAGCATTGGCAAGAAATGCAGGGTGGATACACTTGTGCTTTGTGGGAATCCTGGTGGCTATGGCTTCATAGTATCAGGGGACTAGCTTGCTGGGCTTCCTTCTGCAAAAGGGATCTTAATTTGGTTACCTGGTGGATGCTTTTATAAATGAGAAGAATAAACAGTCTTGAGGGACTTAACTTTGTTGGAGAGTTAAAGGGAGAAAGAAAAGAACAAAGTGAAGAAATTACTCTTTATTTGGGAGCATTTCCTTGAGAAGTCTTTCTGAAGTTTGCTTTTAGTTTTATTTGGTATCACTTTTATCTTTTCCCAGGGGATGCAGATGTGTTTTGAAATAACGCATGCAGAAAAAACAAGCTGTAGGAGGCAGAAATAAATTCTTGAAAGTTTAGTAAGTTTCTGAAGGACAGAACTGCTTGGAGAAGCTGGGCTGTACCACATCTTTAAGGTTGATGTCTGGGAGAACCAACTACTGTGTTTCCTGGTATGACCATTGATGTGTTTGTTGATAGATACAACTAATGGCTAGGTTCTTGCTTGTACTTTTATGTGGGACTTTTTAAAAGAGTTCAAACAATAGGGAAATATGACACAAAGGAACCTGAAAAACATAAGCAGCAGATTACACCTTTGCTTAACTTTAAGGTTAAAACAATCCATAGAAAATTGTTTTGGATTTTTCTAGCTAGTGAAAATACTATACAGCCCTTTGCAGATATAGTATCTAAGGGGTTTAAAGAAAGTTAAAGGCTGGTGTGGTGGCTCAGGAGTCCAAGGCTGGAGGATTGCTTAAGCCCAGGAGTTCAAGACCAGCTTGAGCAACAAAATGAGACCTAATCTCTACAAAAGAAAAAAAGAAAAGAAGAAGAAGAAAGAAGGAGGAGGAGGAGGGGGAAGGAGGGGGAGGAGGGGAAGGAGGGGAAGAAGGGGAAGAAGGGGAAGGAGGGGAAGGAGGGGAAGGAGGGGAAGGAGGGGAAGGAGGGGAATGAGGGGGAGGAGGGGTAGGAGGAGAAGGAGAAGGAAGTTCAAATAAAATTAAGTCCCAGAGAACAAGGCCATACACATACGCAGCCAAAAGATCATTCATGTAACATTGCCTAAGACTTCTCCATGGTGTCAGTTAGGAGGATGTTTAAAATCAGTGGCAGAGCTATTTTCCTAGCTCTGCCTAAAAGTGCCGGAGGTATATTGTGTTTTCAGTCTGGGATCCAAAGCCATGTGAGAAGAAACATCAGAGATGAAGGCTTTTTTGGTTTTAAACCATCTTAGCTGTGTTTGCACTCATTTCTGTCCTCATTAAAGAGGACAACTGGGGTAACTGAGATAGTGAAATGTATCCAAGGTGAAAGTGAGTGAAAACAAAAATATTTCTCCAGTATGTTTTTGTGATGAGAAGCAGGAAATCTGAACCACTGAGCTCTTAAGAAAGTCCTTCACTGCACCTTTGTTTCCTGTGTCAAAGAGGCCACATTCATTACATAGCACAATTCTTGGAGTGAATCCTTCACTCTCAACAAATGAGTTAAAATGTTTTTCTCTAAAAAATAAAAGATGCATCTTCAGCAAATTTTATTTTTATTAGGAAAAGCCACTACTGCATCCTACTTTTATTCTGGGTGTGTTTTATATTTTTGACAAGTGCTCTCACATCAAAAAAATGTGTCTACATTAATTCAAAATTCATAATGATCACTCTTATCCTGCTGATACAATTATCAAAGTTCTTTTTTTTTTTTGGTCTTCTTTCCCCTGCTGTTGCCTAGTGTTTGTAATTATCTTTTCTTGAGGTTGGGCAGGGGAGAGGATAGGGAGAGAATGTTCAGCAAAAATCAGTCATATATTTAGTGTGGCTTCCCATTCGTTCATTTCATCTTCCATCTATCCATTTATCTTTCCATTCACGCACCCAACCATGCAATATTCATTGATCATCTGTGAGCCACCTAAATTGGAATAGCAAGGATCTCTCCTATCAAAGAGTCTAGAATAAATGCCAGGCATTTACAGTGGGAAAATGTTAATATCAGGTAAATTCTGTCTTGGGGAGAGGTCTTGTGACCTGTTTTTGGGGGTTTTAGGGAAAGCTTCCAGGAAGCAGTACTGTCTCAACTGATACATAAAGGGCAAATTGAAGTTAGCTGGAAGAACTGCATGTTTGGGCTAGAGTGTGGTTAAGCAATGAGGAAGAATTTCCAGCAGAAGAAACTCCATGTTCTAGAGGTCATATTTTATGTGAGGGTTGTATTTCTAAAGTTCTTGCAAATTTGGAACTCCCATGATTCAAAATAATTCTGTCAAAAGATGGTGGATATTTTCATTTACCAGCTAACATGGCCCTGTGGCCACTCTGTAAACAGAGTTTAGAGTTTCCTCTGCCCCAGCCAGCATCAAAACTACAATTCTTGAAGAATTGTTTCGGTGGGGGTGCCTACATAGATCCAAATTAATGTGAGACAATATTAGTGCTTTTGTATCACCTTATTTCAAAGCTGCATGATTCAGGTTCACCTCAAATATGACCAAACTCTGGAGTTTCAGAGCAGTAGCTCATGGCCCATTTGATGGTATTAAAAGTAGATCAGGATGGATAGCATGTACACACAAGACTAGGGGTGAGGGAGAAAGGAGATAAAATGGATAAGGAATCAGGGACCAGGTCAGTGAAGGCTTGTAAACTGTGTTAAAAGGTAAAATAGTCACATTAACATTTTAAAGAATTTATTCGTGTAGATAGTAATTCATGAATTGGGCAGCATCAGGTAGTAAGTGGTTCAGGGCTCCGCTGAAAGGGCACAAGGGGAACATTTTTATAAGGTGTTCTAGGAAGCAAGACAAAAGTATTTGGTTAAAGTGGAAAGTCCCTAGTTAGAGGTTAATTGGTAGTTTCTGACTCTTTACATGGTATTTTGACTCACATTGATTAGGTTTTGGTTTACTTACTTAGGAACCCAAGGTGCCGGAGCCATCTCAGCCTGATGGCTTCTCAGTTAGTTTTTAAAAGCAATTATAATAAGAGGATGGCAATGGGGAGCCTCTGAAGAATGCTGAGGAAGGAATTGGCGAGGTCAGCATTATGCTTTTGTTTAAGTGTAAATAGAAGAGAGCTGAAATTAGACCATATGTGGATTTCAGATATTTTTGGAACATTTATCTTTTATTTCTTATTAAACTTTGCTTATAAACAATGTAAGCTTTTGTGATATCAAAGTCCTCCTCTTAAGGTGTTTTGTTAATTTGCTTTTGAAGAGTCCACTAATCATCTTGTGAGAGAAAATAAAAGACGTGGCCTGATTGGCAAAAAGATTGGATAGAGGTTCAACCCAGAATTGGGGTCTAAGGCTAGGGGAGAATCCGATTAGGGAATCATACTTGGAGGTCTATGGTAAAATAGGTTGTGGGAAATATGGGTTAGACAAAGTTAAATAGACTTCTTTATTGTGGGGCTTCTAGATCCTTAAAGACATTAATGTATGTTAAGGTGCATAGGATGTCATCAACTTGTTTCACAACTAAGGAACCTTTGTTCCAAAAGTAGTCATTACAGTCTGGCTAAGGACTAGTATTCCAAGGAATATGTATCCGTTTCCTTTTGCCACAATAATGCTGCATAATAAGCAACCACAAAACTGCAGTGGAATAGAATAACATATATGTATTTAGCCTGTAAGTTTCGGGGGGTTCAGCTGCTCAATGCTTGACTGATTTCAGCTGATCTCATTCATGTGTCTGTGCTCAGCTATGGGTTGGGCAGGCAGCGCTGGGTTAGTTCATATGTCTAGGGGCTCAGCTAGCTGTTAGCTGACCTAGGGTGGCATAGCTAACATCTATGCTAGATCAGGGTGACTCATCCCTGCTAAATATGTGTCTCATCCTAAGATACTAGACCTAGCATATACTCCTGGCTATGGCAGAGGAGCAAGAATGAGAACAAACTCAGTTGTGCAAGCACTTTTCAAGCCTTTCTTTGCATCATGTGTGCTAATATTTCCATTGGCCAAAGGAAGTCACACAGCCAATTCTAGAGTGAGAATGGCACCACAAAGTTACGTAGCCGAGACTGTGGTTACAGGGAGGGAGAATTGTGCTCTTTTTGCAGTCAGACTATCCTAGATCCCAACTTAGAAATTGCAGGATGAGATTACAGTCAATTGAGCAAGGAATGAGGTCAGACTTTTCTCCATGCCATGGCCACAGGACTGTACTTTTGATACTGATAAGCAGCCTCACAAATAGATGTCTGAGCCATGTCAAGGAAGAGAGAGTTCATCTGGGTCTGCACAGGTCTTTATTGTTTTTCTATGGAATTATTTCATTGAAGGCTGAAAGGATTGTGGACATCATCTAGTTCTAGTTGCATCGTGTTGGCAGTCGTGAAGGAGACAGTCCCAGAGAGGTTAATTGGGCTCCTTCAATCCAAACAGCTATCTAGAAGCAAATCTGGGCCTTGAACCCAGATTCTCAAGCCAATTGAGTTTTAATTACCTCAAAGAAGCTTTGTTGTGGGGTGGAAGGGACTGAAATGTATTTGCAATCTTTATATAGGAACAAATCACATTCCTCCTGGAGGAAATGAAATATAAATGATTTTTGAAATAGGAAGAATAGAGAGTAGTCATGCCTTGTTAGATGTCTCACAAAGGGCAAAGGGTAAGGATAGTTAAGCATTGAGTGATTACTGAAATACTGTGGCTGGAGATCCTTGGTAATAGAGTTTCGTTTTCAGATTTTTTTTTCTCCTGTCTCTTCCCTCGCCCCAAGAATTTCTCCTGCATCAGGGAAGTCAACAGAGGACTTCTGAGCGGAGAGTAAGAATTTGTGTTCTAGCTCCTTCTTTATCAAACAGAAGATACAATTGTGAAGGCAGACCCAGCCTTCTAGAATAGCTGGCACATTAACACCTAACTTACCTGACATTGGTAGGGAACAATCTGTGCTACATAAGTAAAATTTTGATAATGAAATCCTAACCATTTAGCACTGTCAAAGTAGCTGTTTTCGTGATGGAAATATTTCTGGTCCAACAGATGTGTTTCCCTGATTTAATAAACAGAATAATTGAAACTTCCAGCCTCATCCTTTTAGACATCAGTTATTGAACTGTGCAGTAATATAGAAACATGCCTTGTAAAGAGCCATGTAAGTGTAAGGTGTTGTTATTGTTTGCTTGGGTTTCTGGAGTATGTGGGCCACTTGGCTTTAGACAGATCTGCTTTCTAAATTCTTGTATTCCTTGTTTGTTTTCAGAGGGTTCCCTTGCCCTCTGGCCTCCAGGTAGGTGTAGCCAACAGGAAGCACTGGTGGAAAACTGGAGGGCCAGAAGAGAGAGAGGTCAGGGTGCCTTTCTCTGCCTCTCTGCTTTCTTTGGTATCTCTAGGAACACATGTGTCTCTTCCATGTGTCTCTTCCAATCAGCTCTCACCAGACTCCCCTTTTCTCCACAGCAGCCTGATCTCCACGGCTGTTGCCCTGGTCTCTGTCAGTTGGCTCTAGCCTCTAGGCTCTGATAACGTCACATCCTTCCATTATCCCACCTGTTAGGGAAGATAGCAGCTCTCCTCAGTTGCTAGTCTCTGGGCTGCTTCACTGTCCCTCTGTGGTCTGTCAGTCATTCTCACATCTGTAACAAGTCACCTGATTTGAAAGACCTAGAGTAGTTTCTGTGTTCTGGTTGACTTTGACTAATAACGATTTATTGAATTTGCCTTCTCTTGCAACCCTTACTTCCCTCCTGATTTGCTTCTTGCAACGTACTGTGCAGGTGACATCCACGTTATGCAGTTTATTTCAT
The DNA here is from genome assembly GCF_000001405.40 of Homo sapiens. Classification (NCBI taxonomy): domain Eukaryota; kingdom Metazoa; phylum Chordata; class Mammalia; order Primates; family Hominidae; genus Homo; species Homo sapiens. The sequence goes on from NC_000020.11 coordinate 9,149,574, forward strand.
TGGACATAACAATGGAAACTCTTTTAAGCAATAGAGCACAGTGGTTTTGAGCCTGCGCTCTGGTGTTAGAATGTTTGCATCGTAGTCCTGGCTATGCTACTCATTGGCTATGTGACTCTGGGCAAGTTTCTTAACCTGAGACTGACTTTTTAATCTAAAAAAATGAAAGTAATTTCAGTACCTAAGTTGTCTCAATATGAGTTTCCTGGGAAACAAACTCCCAACTGGAGGTTGGTGTGCAGAGGTTTGTTTATTCTCAAATACTCTTCAGATTAACATCTGTGGAGGGGAAAGGACGGATTCAGGACTGGGCAGAGGGAGAAGTTGAACTGCAGTGCAATCTTAACAAGAGCCTTAGTTAACCCTCTGAAGCAGGTTGGGCGCTTATTCACTGATGTTGACCATTGGAGGCAGTTGACCGTGAATGGAACAGCTTCCTCCAGCTGAGGGAATTTTCCAGAGAGGACTGACAGTTGAGGGCATTCTGCCTGCATCACTCATAGTAGCAAGGAATCAATTCTTCAGTCCTGAAGCAGTGTCTGGGCGTCACATCACAGTGTCCATGACCTATATCCAGGTGTGTAATGTGAAAGATAAATACAGTGATTAAACCATAAGAAATGCCTTGCTAGGTGCGTACCACTTGGTGAATGCTCAACACTATTAGTTAACATTATTGATGAATTAAATACAGAAGTTTCAGTTAGTGGACTTTATGATGTCTAGTGTAGCTATTCTGAGAGTTTTGACTGATTTCTTCTCCATAACCCAGTCCTAAAGAGTTGAGGAAAAGCAGAGTAAGTGGTCTGGGATAAATAGGGTTCCATGATTTGTATACATATACTGTCATGCACATTTGTACTTTCCTATGACTTTTAATGTGGTGTCTTTAAATATGGCTTACCCATAGGTTCTTGTATCTTTATTCCTTAAGGTATTCAAGGTATTTAGCATCAAATTTGGTACAAATCAATGCAGCTTCCATTTTTTGAATACTTACTATGTAGCCATGGTGCTAAACATGCATCGTCTCGTCAGTTCTCAGGATGACTCTAAGGTGCTGAGATTCCTAGTTTAGAAGGAGGCCTGAGGTCAGTGAAGTTAAGTGACCTGCCCCAGGTCACCCAGCCAAGAAGTGGCAGAGAAGTTCTCCTGCCAGGGCTGCCAGATTCACTGCGAGCCTAGGCTTTTCACTACACATTTGGACGATTTAAGCAGCAGTAGGGGAAACCTTCTCCTCCGAAAATAACTCTAGCAAAGTGTAGGTGTTGTTTTGGTAGAAACATTTCAGCTGTTGCCATAAAAATCTTCCCCCAAATGGCTTTGTGAGAGCAAAGCTGTGCAGGCTCTGCTTGTGTTTATGATGGGAGCCTTATGGCTCAGCCACAACACAAATGATTTGTTTTTCTGGCCTTGTTGGCAAAGTGATTTAATTTCTGGGTTTCCCTGAGGAAACAATCTAAACAAATACAGTAGGCCCTCCATATCTGCCAGTTCTGCATCCATGGATTCAACTAAGCTCGGATAGAAAATATTCAAAAAATTTAACAATACAACAATAAAAATAGTATAAATAAAAACAGCATAACAAATATTTATGTAGCATTTACATTGTATTGGGTATTATAAGTACTCCAGTGATGGTTTCAAGTATATGGGAGAACGTGCATAGGTTATATACAAATATTATGCCATTTTATATAAGGGACTTGAGCATCTGTGAGTTTTGGTACCTGTGGGGGATCCTGGAACCATTCCCTTACAGATACTGAGGGATGGCTGATATGGTTTGGCTATGTCCCCATCCAAATCTCAACTAAATTTTATCACCCAGAATTCCCACATGTGGTGGGAGGGACCCAGGGGGAGGTAATTAAATCATGGGGGTTGGTCTTTGCTGTGTTATTCTCATGGTAGTGAATAAGTCTCATGAAATCTGATGGGTTTATCAGGGGTTTCCACTTTTGCTTCTTCCTCATTTTCTCTTGCTGCTGCCATGTTAGAAGTGCCTTTCAGCCTCCCGCCATGATTCTGAGGCCTCCCCAGCCATGTGGAACTGTAAGTCCAATTAAACCTTTTTTTCTTCCCGGTCTTGGATATGTCTTTATCAGCAGTGTGAAAACAAACTAATACAGTAAATTGGTACCAGTAGAGTGGGGCGTTGCTGAAAAGATACCCGAAAATATGGAAGTGACTTTGGAACTGGGTAACAGGCAGAGATTGGAACAGTTTGAAGGGCTCAGAAGAAGATAGGAAAATGTGGGAAAGTTTGGAACTTCCTAGAGACTTGTTGAATGGCTTTGCCCAAAATGCTGATAGTGATATAGACAATAAAATCCAGGCTGAGGTGATCTCAGTTGGAGATGAGGAACTTGTTGGGAACTGGAGCAAAGGTGACTCTTATTATGTTTTGGCAAAGAGAATGGCAGCATTTTGCCCCTGCCTTAGAGATCTGTGGAACTTTAAACTTGAGAGAGATAATATACGGTATCTGGTGGAAGAAATTTCCAAGCAGCTCAGCATTCAAGAGGTGACTTGGATGCTGTTAAAGGCTTTCAGTTTTATAAGGGAAGCAGAGCATAAAAGTTTGGAAAATTTGCAAACTGACTGTGACAGAAAAGAAAAACCCATTTTCTGGGGAGAAATTCAAGCTGGCTACAGAAATTTGCATAAGTAGCAAGGAGCCTAATGTTAATCCCCAAGACCATGGAGAAAATGTCTCCAGGCCATATCAGAGACCTTCACAGCAGCCCTTCCCATCACAGACCCAGAGGTCTAGGAGGAAAAAATGATTTCATGGGCCGGGCCCAGTGTCCCTGTGTGGTGTACAGCCTAGGGACATAGTGCCTTGTGTCCAAGCTGCTCCAGCCATGGCTGAAAGGGGCTAACATAGAGCTTGGGCTGTGGCTTCAAAGTGTAGAAGCCCTAAGCCTTGGCAGCTTCCATGTTGTGTTGAGCCTGTGGGTGCACAGAAGTCAAGCACTGAGGTTTGGGAAACTTCACCTAGATTTCAGAAGATGTACGGAAATGCCTGTATGCCCAGGCAAAAGTTTGCTGCAGGGGCGGGGAACTTCATGGAGAACTTCTGCTAGGGCATCGTGGAAGGGAATGGGGTCAGAGTCCTCACACAGATACCCTACTGGGGCACTGCCTAGTGGAGTTGTGGGAAGAAGGCCACTATCCTCCAGACCCCAAAATGGTAGACCTACTGACAGCTTGCACCATGTGCCTGGAAAAGCTGCAAACAAACACTCAATGCCAGCCCATGAAAGCATCTGGGAGGGAGGCTGTACCCTGCAAAGCCGTAGGGGTGGAGCTGCCCAAGACCATGGGAACATATCTCTTGTATCAATGTGACCTGGGTGTGAGACCTGGAGTCAAAGGAGATCATTTTGGAGCTTTAACATTTGACAGCTCTGCTGGATTTCAGACTTGTATCGGCCCTGTAACCCCTTCGTTTTGGCCAATGCCTCCTATTTGGAACAGCTGTATTTACCCAATACTTGTACCCTCACTATCTAGGAAGTAACTAGCTTGCTTTTGATTTTACAGGCTCATAGGCAGAAGTGACTTGCCTTATCTCAGATGAGACTTTGAACTGTGGACTTTGGGTTGATGCTGAAATGAGTTAAGACTTTGGGGGGCTGTTGGGAAGGCATGATTGGGTTTGAAATGTAAGGACATGTGATTTGGAGGGGCCAAGGGTGGAATGATTTTGTTTGCCTGTGTCCCCATCCAAAACTCAACTTGAATTGTGTCTCCCAGAATTCCCATGTCTTGTGGGAGTGTCCCAGGGGGAGGTAATTAAATCATGGGGGTTGGTCTTTGCCGTGTTATTCTCTTGATAGTGAATACATCTTGAGATCTGATGGGTTTATCAGGGGTTCCCACTCTTGCTTCTTCCTCATTTTCTCTTGCTGCTGCCATGTAAGAAGTGCCTTTCAACCTCCCGCCATGATTCTGAGGCCTCCCTAACCATGTGGAACTGTAAGTCCAATTAAACCTTTTTTTCTTCCCGGTCTCGGATATGTCTTTATCATCAGCATGAAAACAAACTAATACAATGGCTTTAAATTTATTTGTAATTGGATGTTTAAAGAGGAGCCACAAGGGAAAGTCAAAGTGGGTGGCCCAGGTACGTTTTCATTCAGTGAGTGATACGATAAGGGGAGGAATAAGGTGCATAGGTGAATTCACTCAGTGTTCTTTCTTCCTAGTATTTGGCTCTCCATTCTTCATCAGGAAATGATTATTATAATCAACCAAAATTTTGCAAACAAGGTGGGCATTTAGGTATGTAGGTGTTCAGCATTATTTTTGGAGAACAGAGCAAATCCGGTCATTATTTCTTTTTATTGAAATAAAAGTAATGACTCCTTTTCTGTAGGAAAAAGTAATTTTTCAAAATAGGCTACATGGTACTGATGAGAAGTTAGGAAGCTGCATGATATTCCAGTCAGATCAGGATCCCAGACTCCCATCTTTCTGGTCCACTATCTTGATCTTTCCATTTTCCATTGGTCACTTGGGCAAAGTTCGGTTTAGGCCATCAGGTCCACAGTGCACATGTGCAGCGAGGAGGGATTAGAGAGAAGAAAGGAATCCTTTTAGTTGAGGCATCTCCTGCCATTTTTGTCATCTTACTCTTAAGTTCCATATAACACTTTAAAAAAATTTTTCTTGACCAATATTTGGTCACATGGTCACATCTCAGTGCAGGAGAGCCTGGGAAATGTAGTCTTGTTTTGGGCAACTGCCTGAATAAAATTGGGGCTCTCTTACTGATGATGGAGAGGAGAATGACTATTGAGTTATAACTGGCAATTTCTGCTACATTTGGGATTGGAATACTAATGCCACAACCAAAAGTTTTGAAATGATGGAGTTAACATTAAAAGGTGAATTTTGTTGGTGTGTGTTTCTCTAATAATGCTCAGTCGTCTGTGGCTGGTGTGCATAATGAACATACACAGCTCCTAAATCTGCTTCACTCTGGCCCCCTTTCCTGGGGGAAACAGTGTTTGGAGAAGCACACTTTATGTCATTCAACAGATATTGATCAGCTACCATATACCATGCACTGTACCAGATCTTAGCAGAGTCTAGGAGCTACAACATTTTCCACATTTATTTGACCACCTCTCCCACAACCCTCTCCCTCCCTCCCTCCTTTCCTTTCCCTCCCTCCTTTCCTTTCCCTCCCTCCTTTCCTTTCCCTCTTTCCTTTCCTTTCTTTTCCTTTCCTTTCCTTTCCCTCCCTTCTTTCCTTCCTTTTTCCCTCCCTCTCTCCCTCCCTTCCTTCCTTCTTTCCTTCCCTCCTTCCCTCCTTCCCTCCTTCCTTCCTTCCTTCCTTCCTTCCTTCCTTCCTTCCTTCCTTCCTTCCTTCCTTCCTTCTGCTTTTGGGGTACAAGTGGTTTTTGGTTACATGGATGAATTATGTAGTGGTGAATTCTGAGATTTTAGTGCACCTATCACACAAGCAGTGTACATTGTACTTAATAGGTAGTTTTTTGCCCCTGGCCCCCCTCCCACCCTTCCCCTTCTGAGTCTGTAAAGTCCATTATATCACTCTCTATGCCTTTGCTTACTTATAGCTTAGCTCCCTCTTATAAGTGAGAACATGTGGTTTTTGATTTTCCACTCCTGTGTTACTTGATTTAGAATAATGTCTCCAGCGCCATCCAAGTTGCTGCAAAAGACATTATTTTGTTCCTTTTAATGGCTGAATAGTATTCCATGGTGTATATGTACCACATTTTCTTTATCCATTCATTAGTTGATGGGCACTTAGGTTGGTTCCACATCTTTGCAATTGTGAATTGTGAAGACTCAATTCTTTGTTGAAAAGAGCTGCAAAGTCACTTTACAAAGGGTGTGGAAAGCTGAAGAACTTGAGATTCAGGGCCTTTTTAGCTGTCAATCTACTGCAGTGTCCCAGGGAGGAAAAGCTTAATTTGTATGGATGCTTGATTCTTTCTGTACCTTTTCTTTCTCTGTTTCCACAAACTCACCCAGTTAAAATTTCTGTTCATTGAACACGATGGCAGCTAGGTTGATGGGATTAAATCAGTTGTCTTTACCTGCCTCAGTGTGTTGGGATCCTCAAAGCTCAGTGAAACCACCAGCTGGTGAATAAGACTTCTGAGTGGGTGGGTTTCCTGATCTCACTTGATGTTTTTTGGGACAATAGTGATGCCCCATTTCCTTTGTGCTCTGTAGCTAAACTCCCAGGGAGTAAGACATGTGGCATAAACATAACCTCATAGACTATACCTACATCGTGCCCACTTTAGCTCTTTCTCACTTTTTTTTGTGTGTGCCTCCAGAACACACAAGACAAGTAAATACAGTATGGACAATAAGTTACGAGTGAGGAGAGAGTGTTTTGAGACAGCCAATAGCAAACATCGTGGAGAACTTCTCTTTATAGGTCAATATCCGTTGTCTTAGTCTGTTAAATTCTTCCAGTCATAGACTGTGCAATGTATGCATAAGCTATCAACACTTAAAAAATTATGATGGTCACTAAGAAGACCTTTTTTCTGTACACTTTCAGTGCTTCTTCAGTCATCTGCCATGGGTACTTCTGTTCTTCATCTCCAGATTGTTTCTGGAAGTCCTGTGGGCAGCTCTTTAACACTGGAAACATGCAGTCTCCTCATCCATAAAATGGGCAATACCTCTCTCAATGTATTCGAGAAGTCACGTACAGGTCACATATGACCATTACTCATAATATGTAACACTGACATGGCACTAACTATGTGCTAGGTACAGTTCTCAACAGGCTTATGAGGTAAGTGTTATTACAGTCCCATTCTGAGATGATGGAATTGAGGCACAGAAAGGTTAAGTAACATGCCAGTGTTGCACAGACCTGAGGTTTGCACCCAGGTAGCCTAGCACTGCAGACCTGTTTCATATTCATGCTGAAGGACTAACTGCCTCTGTAGGTGTGAGTACTGTACATGGAAAAGTTAGAGAAGTAAAGGTCTAATTTTGACAGAATTGAGAGGGGAGGGGGCATTGACTTAGGTTTTAGAAATTAACTTAGACTCTTAGTACATAGGTTGCTGTGGCAATTTACATAGCTATTTCTTTCAGGTACATTTGACATTCAAAAGCAATCAGATCGTATTATCTGTTCTTTGAGGGATTACTGGGCTCTGTGAATCTTGAAGGTTACATTTGCAATCAGCATTAATTTTATTGTTAACCATTTTCCTTCATGTTGGTTACAGGGTTGCCTCCCTCCCTCCCTCCCTCCCTCCCTCCCTCCCTTCCTTCCTTCCTTCCTTCCTTCCTTCTTTCCCTCTTTGGGCTTTAGTGGAGCTTATAACTAGTTGAACTAGATGGATCAACTCAAGTTGATTATTCAGGAGGCCTTATTATCCCCCAGAGAGCAGACACGGAGCTTGGCTGGACCTCACGGATCACTAGTCCATGTCACTGCACAATGTTCTTCCTCTGTTCTTCGCTATTTTAGTCCAAAATGCCTGCTAAATGGAGTGGAGTGAAGAAGGCACACAATGTTAATATGAAGTAACTTCCCCAGTGCATTTTCTGATTCATCAAGATGCTCACATTAAGCTACATGAACAAATGGAGGAATTCCCCTGGAAGCCAAGGACAGAGAAAAATCATATGAAAAAAAAAAAAAGATAAATAAGA